>NC_000001.11:231941697-232093212 GCF_000001405.40 Homo sapiens | reverse complement strand
AGAAGCTAGTTGCAAAATGTCAAACATTGTATATAACATTTATATAGAGTTCAAAATAAAGCAAAATGATCTATATTATTATTATTATTATTATTATTATTATTTTGAGACAGAGTTTTGCTCTTGTTGCCCAGGCTGGAGTGCAATGGTTTTATCTTGGCTCACTGCAACCTCCGCCTCCCAGGTTCAAGAAATTCTCCTGCCTCAGCTGCCCAAGTAGCTGGGATTACAGGCACCCGCCACCACGCCCAGTTAAGTTTTGTATTTTTAGTAGAGATGGGGTTTCACCATGTTGACCAGGCTGGTCTCAAACTCCTGACCTCAGATCTGCCGCCGCGGCCTCTCAAAGTGCTGGGATTACGAGCGTGAGCCACCACACCCGGCCTAAATTATTTTTGATACTTATATGTAATAATAGTATAAAAGCTGTGTGGAAATGCAAGTAGCAAAGTCAGTTACCTCTGGGAAGAAAGACAGGGGCATGTTCAAGGCCCTTGAGACTTCTGCCAATATTACCATTGATGCCCCTCCACCTTTCACTAAAATTCTTTTCAGGATCCTTTAATCCTTCATTGACAGTCTCCTCAAGGCTGCCTGGTCCCAAAGCCAATGCTACAATGTTTTAGCTTTTTTTTGGCCATGGTAGCACCCCAGTCCTGGTACCAAAATCAGTCCCAGTTACTGTTGCCATATAACAAGCCACCCCAAAACCTAGTGGCATACAGCAATCCCTTTATTATGCCCGTAGTTTCTGTGGGTCAGGAATTCAGCTACTGCACTGCACTCCACAATGTCTTGTGCCTCAGCTGGGAAGGGCTTGAAGGCTATGAATGAATCAATGGCTGGAGGCTGAAGTTCTCTGGAGGAGTCTTCACTCCTGTCTGGCAGTTGATGCGAGCTGTTGCGTGGGACCTCAGCTATTGGCTGGAGCAGGTTCACACGGCCTCTCCACGTGGCCTGGACATCACAGCATGGCAGCTTCAGAGTAGCTGGACCTCTTACTATGACAGAACACTACAAAGACATGGGCCTCAAAAGAACCGCGTAGATTCTCAATAAATATTTGCTTAGTTGATAACTCTCATTAAGATATTTCATCTGCTTTTTCTTTGAACAAAGTGACATTATTTTATTGAGTTTACCTTTAAAGATTTGATTTCTCTGGATCAAGAGCTCACCGTTCATGACTTTGAGAGAGGGGCTGGCCAGGAAGCAACCTAACATAGTAACAATCCAAAAACGTGTAATGTCTTCAGGGAGAAACAGTGTTAAATAGTTAAAATGATATATGGCAAAGGATTGTGAAATTTATTTCAATTTTCTTTCAATAATAACAATAACTCAGGTATAAAATGCTATGAAGTAAAAGTCCTCTAAGAACCTACTATAATGAAAAGTAAAAATGTATCGTAATTAAGAGTTTGCATAGAGTTTCAAAAACATTTGTTCTCCAAATGGATGGATATTTTTCTTAAACTTGTATGAATATTATGTGCTTCATAAAGCTTTGCTTTTGCTTAGCATTTTAACGAGGATCTCGCTAGAATTATTTCATATCCAGACATAGCAACTGGTGCAGAACCACAGCAAGGCAATGTCCTACAAGAGAAATGAAGATGATTATTACAGTGTAGCGCTAGTCTATTATTTCATATCCTACTTTCTATATGATCAAGGAATGCTAGGTTCTTAGTGGCAGTCTAAGGCTTTGACAGAAGATTTTTTTAAAGGAAAAATGGAAAATATGAAGCGAACTGTAAAACAGCATGAAATGAAAAGTTGGCAGGAAAGAGAGAATCTGAGGGAGGAACAGAATAAAATAAAAGAATGGAGAAAAAGATGAAGGGAGAGTGAAGGGAAAGAGAGAGAAAGAAAAAAGCAGGTAATTGAAACATGATTATAAAGGGGTCAAATTGTTTCTGGCAATGTTTGAAGGGAGAAACATCTGTCTCCATGTGCCAGAATGTACTTTTCAGATTCTGCCGTCTGTATTAAAATTAAAACATGACTGCATGTCATTGCGATGCCCCATCAGAAATATTCTTTGGAGATAACAGTTTATTGGACTAGAGAATCCCACTAATCCTCTCACAACCAAAAAAGCATCTGGTGAAAAATAGCCTCAAAAGACATTCAGAACAATCTGATATTTCTACATAAGCTCCATGAAAAGGGAGTCTTTCAATTAGTGACAGGAATTACATTTGTGTTACTGCAGATTGTATTCACAGTGTGGAAGTGATTACAATGTAGTATATGTCCCTGAAAGCCAAATGATCTGCTCTTTTTAGTTTCTGGTATCAGAAAAAAATAGCAAAACTGTCCAACAGATAATCCCCAAATCATGACGCGTAATAAATCTGCCTGCTGAAAAATCTTTAAGAAAACTTCCTCTGGAGGGGAAGGAGGAACGTGGGAGGTAAAACCACATGTGCAGAGTCGCTGATATCAAAATCGTAATATTGCTTCCAGCTCAAATTTCATATTTTATCATTGTTAAAATACAGAAATGAGACAATGCCGTGAAGGCATCTTTACCGAACTTGAATTTTTAATGCAGCATCGCCTGTGAACCAGACTGAAAGATAACAGCTGGAAGCTGGTACGTTCTGGGCAATTGTTATTTTTGAAAAATAGTGGAAGCAATAAGACATCAAAATGGTCTTTTAAATTCCGTCTTCAGCATGAAGCTTCTACCCTGAAGAGGGGGAATATAAAACTCCAACTGACTTTGTTGATTAATGGAAATTTATAATCATACTCCATCACCCCTAGGAAGAATGGGCCCGGCTTTGCGGATAGCAAAAGGGAAACTCAGTTAACCAAATGGGGAAGTTTCCTGCTACTTATCTCGCTGGGGAGGTAATGTGGGGGGAAACGGGGTGTTGGTTTATGGATATAAAATATGAGTACCCACCCTTTAAGGATTCAATCTCTGGTACTTCCTGACACAGATTTGGGGTTGGGTAGGGAAAATGGAACAGGACGCTGTACCTTATTTGACCTCTCTGTTTTGTTTTGTTTTTTGAGATGGTGTCTCGCTCTGTCACCCAGGCTGGAGTACATTGGCATAATCTCGGCTCACTGCCACCTCTGCCTCCCGGGTTCAAGCGATTCTCCTGCCTCAGCCTCCTGAGTAGCTGGGATTACAGGCACGCGCCACCATGCCCGGCTAATTTTTGTATTTTTAATAGAGACAGGGTTTCACCATGTTGGTCAGCCTGGTCTCGAACTCCTAACTTCAGATGATCTGCCCGCTTTGGCCTCCCAAAGTGCTGGGATTACTGGTGTAAGCCACTATGCCTGGCATCTGGATCTTCTCATGAATCAAATCTTTACCATGAAGCCTCATAGTTAATTCTTATGCTTCCTCTTAAAACAGTTCTTGGGGCTGGGCACAGTGGCTCACGCCTGTAATCCCAACACTTTGGGAGGCCAAGGTGCATGGATCACCTGAGGTCAGGAGCTCGAAACCAGCCTGGCCAACATGGCAAAACCCCGTCTCTACTAAAAATACAAAAATTAGGAGGGGCACATTGGCTCACGCCAGTAATCCTAGCACTTTGGGAGGCCATGGCGGACAGATTGTCCAAGCTCAGGAGTTCAAAACCAGCCTGGGCAACATGGTGAAACCCCATCTCTACTAAAAATACAAAAAAATTAGGTGTGGCAGCGTGCACCTGTAGTCCCAGCTACTCGGGAGGCTGAGGCAGGATTGCTTGAACCCGGGAGGTGGAGATTGCAGTGAGCCGAGATTGCTCCACTGCACTCCAGCCTGGGCGACACAGCGAGACACCATCTCCAAAAACAAAAAAAAACAAAAAAACACGAAAATTAGCCAGGCATGGTGGCACGTGCCTGTAGTCTCAGCTACTTGGGAGGCTGAGGCAGGAGAATTGCTTGAACCCAGGAGGCAGAGGTTGCAGTGAGCTGAGATGGCACCAGTGCACTCCATCCTGAGTGACAAAGCGAGACTCTGTCTCAAAAAAAAAAAAAAAGAAAAACAGTCCTTGGGCTGGGTGTAGTAGCTCACACCTGTAACCCCCACACTTGGGAGGTTGAGGCGAGAGGATCACTTGATACCAGGAGTTCAGGACTAGCCTGGGCAGTATACAAGTGAGACCCTGTCTGTACAAAAATATATTTAAAAAAATTAACTGGGCATGGTGGTATGCACTTGTATTACTGCAGCTACTTGGGAGGCTGAGGCGGGAGGATCACTTGAGCCCAGGAGTTCTAGGCTGCAATGAGCTATGGAGTGCCACTGCACTCCAGCCTGGGCAACAGAATGAGACTGTCTTGCAATATATATATATATATATTTTTTCTAAACGTATTTAGAGTAAGTCTACAATTGTATCCATGTGAATTTGCAAGTCTCACACTTCAAAGAAAAGAATAAAAATATATTTTCTGCCTTACAAACCCTGTCCTCTTCACCACTACTCTTGTCCCTCTCTCAGACACACCTCAAACCTGAAGCGTCCCTTAAAGTCCTCTCCTCTAACTTTCACACCATTCACCATTTTGTTGGGGGTTGCCTGAAGTAGTACCCGCTGTGTCTCTTAAATGTTTTTGCGCACACCTTGGCACCTGCTGAGGCTGAACTAGAGCTGAAGGGACTTGAGTTTGGAATTAGAACCTCCTCGCTGAAAAGGTCAACAAACATTAAAAGTGGCTGTGGTGTACCCTTCTCTAGAGATTTTGGGAAAAAAGACCATTTTTTTTTTCTGGGGAATAGCATGAATTATAATCCAGCCCCAAATATGGGAAATGCTGTTAAGGTCTCTTCTACCATTTTATTTCTACCCTCAATGACTTACCCAGGAGTACATAAAAACAAATCTGAGGCTGCCCAGGGCTCTGTTGCCAAGTCTGAGGACTAAGCACTTTGATTTGTCTAGGAAGTAATGAATTCCCACTGTCTTGAAATTAAGACTAGGCCAGGTGCAGTGGCTTACACCTGTAATCCCAGCACTTTGGAGGCCATATTGGGAGGGTTGCTTGAGCCCAGGAGTTTAAATGTTTTTGCTGCACCAGCTTGGGCAAAACAGGGAAACACCTAACTCTACAAAAATAAAGAAATAAAAAAATCAGCTGGGTGTGGTGGCATGTGCCTGTAGACCCAGCTACTTGGGAGGCTGTGCCAGGAGATTGCTTGAGCCCAGCAGGTTGAGGCTGCAGTGAGCCATGGTCAAGCCACTGTACTCCAGCCTGGGTGACAGAGTGAGACCAAGCCTCAAAAACACAATGAAATTAAGAGGATTCTCATGTGCTGTGAATTGTACTACAACAAACTGTACCTTTTAATAACAGAAGATCTGCAGGCTTGGTGTGTTTTGAAAGAGAAGAAAGGTAGAAGATGAGGTTGGAGACGGGCTTGGGGCTAGATTATGAGGACTATGGAAGGGACTTTGAACTTGAAGCAAGGAAAGCAGTCCAAAAATAAAAGTCCAGGTGGGAAATATTTTGGCTTGGACTAAGGTTCCTGCCAGAAGATGAAGAGAAGAGGCGCATTTGAGATAGTTTTTGAAGTTAGAGCATTCCTGAACTGCTGGTGGATTGGATATTGGACATGGGATATGGGAAGTGAGGGAGAAGAAGGAATCAAGCATGGCTCTAGGATTCTGGATTAGGTAACAGTGTGGATGTGTGTACCAGAGACAAATGGAGAAATAGGTGTGCTGTGAGTGTGTGTGCAAACATGTATGTGTGTTGGGGTTAGATTGACAAATCTAATGACATGTCAAGTATGTGATGGGGTGTGGGAAATGCCACCCCAAAATGTGGTGCCTTGGAAATTGAGAAAACAGCAGAAGCTGGAAGTCCCTCTGATCTTCTCTCACTCCTTTCTCCCTTGAAGTGGGACACATAGGAACTAACATTCTCCTTACCCCTTCTTCCTTAAAGCAGACCATCAAACCTAGGAAGGTGACTCTGATCTCCTCCTTTCCTCTGAATACCCTCATGTGTCAGGTATCCTGTTCTATCCCCAGAGGAAAGGAATGTCACGCAGGAACCCCAGGAAGAAACTGAACAAATAGGCCTTCCTAAGTTCCCCCCTTTAGATCATACTTTTTTTCTCCAGTCATACTTCTGCACCACTGTCCATAAAAATACATGGATCTTCCCATTCCTTTGGTTCTTCATTTCTGAGGGTACTCTTGCCACATAAAACTAATAAAATAAATTTATTATATGCTCTTCTCTTTTTAACCTGTCTTCTGTTATAGGGGTCTCAGCCATTACTCTCATATTGGGTGAGGAAAAGATACACTTTTTCTCCCCTACTTATGTAATTGTATTTTCTGACCTGAATATAAAGGAAGAAATTTAGGCTGCAGGTGAAGATAGGAATAGACTCTGCTTATCTATAATACCTGAAATCTAAGGTATTGATGACATTGTCCAAACGGAGACTAAGGAGAGAGAAGAAAAGGAGTAGCGAGCTGGGTCAGATCTAAAAGAAAATATATGAGCGATGGAAGCAGAATAGAAGACCCCATATGATATTAAGAAGTGGTCAGAGTGGGAGAAAGAAAGTCAGGAGAATGTGGGCTTGCAGGTGAAGGTAAGAGAGTGTTGAGAAGGAGAGGTGATCAGGAATGAGGGTACTGGGAGAGTCCAGAGAAGTAATAAGGAACCCAGTGAGAACTGCTGCAAAGAAGTGCAGTGAGGAGTGCCCTGGGCTTCAGTGGAGTTAGGACAGTGTTAGCGTGAAGGGGCAGAGATGATGCTATCTGGAGGGAAATGTTTAAAAGCGTAACTGCAGGCCTGGACACAGTCAAGGGGAGACGAACACGTGTTGACTGAGTTCGAGGAGATTCCTTTCAGAAGCACAGCTGGAGCTGAGCCTTGAGTGATGTTTAGGATTTCACTTAGCTGAGGGGGAGAAGAGAGATTTTACACATGGGGAATGAACGTGAACAAAAGACTGGACCTACAATTCCAGCATAGTAGGCACAAGCCATACGTAACACCGGGTTCTAGATGTATGCCTAATTCAAATGGAGATGCACCCTCAGCGCAAAATACACACCAAATGTCAAGGACTTAATATGAAAAAAAGATTGTATAATATCTCATTTGTAATTTTATGTGATTACATCATCTTGAAAAGGTAATCTATTGGATATGCTGGGTTATATAAAACAGATTATTATAATTAATTTTATCATTTTCTTTTTTTTACTTTTTAAGTGTGACTATTAGAAAATTTAAAATTACATTCACAGCTTGTCGCCTGTTTCTATCAGACAGTGCTGGCCAGAGATGGAATGAGATTGCGTGACACAAGGACCACCAGAGGAGAGTGTGTGCTCTGGCATAAAAGAAGATGAGTTTGGATCATTTCAGTGGAGTCTAAGTGGAGAGAATTTCCAAATGCAAGCAAAGAAATGCCAGGAGACGGCTGTTGGAAGTTCCTAAGCAGGAAAAGGGCTCTAATCTATGGGAAATTCAGGCATAGGGGAGTCTGTGTTTTTAAATAATGAGAAAACTACCCCTTCAAAACCAACCTAAGAAGTCTTCTGTGGAGGGGTGGCCTCTAAGAATAAGCAAGCAGAATGCAGGGGTCCCACGAGCCTTCCTTCTATTCAGTTTCTTTGTCTTCTAGCACTTTAGTCAGCAGACAATCCAGAGCTTGATGTCAGAGGCTGGGGCCTGGAGTTGAACAGTGAACTCACTAGAAGAGAAAGGAGAGCTAAGTCTGTTGGTCAACTCTTGTGAGCATGGCCTGGCAGGAGGTGCCTTATGTCATGGAGTGAGATGGTCAGGCACAAGGACTTGGGAGTCAAGCAGCCTGGGACAAAATCCCAGTTGCCTCTCTTACCTACTGTGTGACTTGAAGTAAGTCAGAGAGCCTCTCTCGGCTTGGTTTTCTCTTTTGTTTAAGGCCTTGAATACTGCACATAGGGCTGCAGTGAGTTCTAATGAGGTCATATAAGGGAAATACATAGCCGGGTATGTATGTACACAGGCACACTGTGACTCTCAGTTAACATTCATTGTTATCATGGTTGTATCCGTTTAACAGCTCTGCAAGTGGAGGTGTTGAGATACCCATTTTATAGGTGAGGGTGCCGGACAAGGGCTATAATCAGAGCATCTTGATTTCAGGCTCTCCTCAGTAGCACCATGGACAGATCACAGGTCGCTATGAAGTTTAACCTGTGCTCACAACACATTGGGCCAGCTTGGGAGTGACAGCGGGCTGGTCCGTCCCTTCCAGGGTAGATAGCTCCCGAGAAAGAATTGCACTTCCAAAAGAGACTTCCTTGCTTCTGAGAATGTCCTCTCCCCACCTCTCCACTCCTCTCTCTCTTCTCTCTCCCTGAAGGCCTAGAACCTAGTTTCTTAAAAACTGGTAATATGTAGATTGTGCCTTTTTGTTCCTTCATTACTTTGTACTTCACATCTCATGAGTCAGCACAAAGCTTTTCAGTGCATCAGGAGATGTTTATGTTACTCCCTCTCTATGGGAGATTAGGGACAAAGAAGGCAAGAGACTGGCCTTTTTGTGCATTTCTTAAGACACTCCTTCTAACCAGAACCTCTGCAGACAGTGTGAGGCTCCCCATCTTTAAACCTGTGTGGTAACATTTGAGAGAAAGCAGTTTTTTTTAGTGTAGAAGAATAAGTATGGCAGTGAGAGTGGAGGCAGTGTGTAAGAAGAGAGAATGACCAAGGGCAATGTAAGTGTGAACAAACCTGCTAGCAGGTGAGTTCCTGCTTTGTGGGCAGTCCCTGAGGCTCTGAGAATGACCTACTAAAGAGAGCCAGACCTGTGGGAGACCCGGTTTTCAAAGACACAGTGTGCAAGAGGGGTTGAAGTCACTGAAAAACCTCTCACCCAAATCTTTATCTCTCCCCACTTGCATTGTATCTGAAATCTCAGCATTACAGCTTTGTTTTTACAGGTAAGGTTTTATTGTTACTTATGAAGATTTGTTAAAAAGCATCAAACTGCCAGGCACGGTGGCTCACGCCTGTAATCCCAGCACTTTGGGAGGCCATAGTGGGCGGATCATAAGGTCAGGAGATAGAGACCGTCCTGGCTAACAAGGTGAAACCCCGTCTCTACTAAAAAAATACAAAAAAATTAGCCGGGAGTGGTGGCGGGCGCCTGTAAGTCCCAGCTACGCGGGAGGCTGAGGCAGGAGAATGGCGTGAACCCGGGAGGCGGAGCTTGCAGTGAGCCGAGATCGCGCCACTGCACTCCAGCCTGGGCGACAGAGCGAGACTCCGTCTCAAAAAAAAAAAAAAAAAAAGCATCAAACTGTCCACACTAGCAGATAAAAGAGGGCCAGCTTAGTGATGTTGCTTATATAAAGTATGACACATCCCTCCCATGGCACATGCCTTAAAGATAGTGATGATGGAGATCTCTGTTGACATGGAAAGATGTTCAGGATATATTGTTTAAAAAAAGGTATGGAAGCAAGATTCCACTTTTGCTTAGGAAAAGTCTTCAAATACACAGATGTACATGAGATGTAATTCAATTTACTATTGAATTATAGATTTTTTCTTTTTGCTTATCTGTATCTTCCAATTTTTATATTAAGAACAAAGATTTATTCTGTGCTTTAAAATATTTTAAATGCAAGCCATCTTACTTACAAGTTACTTACTTACGAGTTACTTAGTAGGCATTAATTAATAAATAAATTATCCTATTGAGTTCTTGTTTAATTGGCATAGAGTTTCAGCTTTCCAAGATGAAAGAACTTTACAATATTCACTGTACAACAACATGAATGTACTTGACATTTCTGACTTGTACACTTAAATATGGTTAAAATTGTAATTTTTGTTTGTTTGTTTGTTTGTTTGAGACGGAGTTTCACTCTCTTTGCCCAGGCTGGAGTGCAATGGCGCGATCTCAGTTCACCGCAACCTCCGCCTCCCAGGTTCAAGCGATTCTCCTGCTTCAGCCTCCTGAGTAGCTAGGATAACAGGCAGGCACCACCAAGCCCGGCTAATTTTGTATTTTTAGTAGAGACAGGGTTTCTCCATGTTGGTCAGGCTGGTCTCAAACTCCCGACCTCAGGTGATCCACCCACCTCGGCCTCCCAAAGTGCTGGGATTGCAGGGGTGAGCCACCATGCCTGGCTGATAAATTTTATGTTATGTGTTTTCTACCACAATTAAATATTTTTTAAACCTACAAAAATGGGGAATAAAGACAGCGGAGAGGAGTATAACAGGGCCAGCAGTGGATTAAAGGCACCCCATTCTCCCAGCACATCTGCAGAAAAATCTTGGCCATGATTCTTATTTTTTAAAACTGGTTTATTGAATGGTTTAAACATCATGGGCTTTATTTTTCTTAAACCATTGACTTTTTACATTTTTTTTTATTATACTTTAAGTACTAGGGAACATGTACACAATGTGCAGGTTTGTTACGTATGTATACATGTGCCATGTTGGTGTGCTGCACCCATTAACTCATCATTTACATTAGGTATATCACCTAATGATATCCCTCCCCCCTACCCCCACCCCAGGACAGGCCCCAGTGTGTGATGTTCCCCACCCTGTGTCCATGTGATCTCATTGTTCAATTCCCACCTATGAGTGAGAATATGCGGTGTTTGGTTTTTTGTTCTTGTGATAGTTTACTGAGAATGATGATTTCCAATTTCATCCATGTCCCTACAAAGGACATGAACTCATCATTTTTTATGGCTGCATAGTATTCCATGGTGTATATGTGCCACATTTTCTTAATCCAGTCTATCATTGTTGGACATTTGGGTTGGTTCCAAGTCTTTGCTATTGTGAATAATGCCGCAATAAACATACGTGTGCATGTGTCTTTATAGCAGCATGATTTATAGTCCTTTGGGTATATACCCAGTAATGGGATGGCTGGGTCAAATGGTATTTCCAGTTCTAGATCCCTGAGGAATCGCCACACTGACTTCCACAATGGTTGAACTAGTTTACAGTCCCACCAACAGTGTAAAAGTGTTCCTATTTCTCCACATCCTCTCCAGCACCTGTTGTTTCCTGACTTTTTAATGATCGCCATTCTAATTGGTGTGAGATGGTATCTCATTGTGGTTTTGATTTGCATTTCTCTGATGGCCAGTGATGATGAGCATTTTTTCATGTATCTGTTGGTTGCATAAATGTCTTCTTTTGAGAAGTTTCTGTTCCTATCCTTCACGCACTTTTTGACGGGGTTGTTTGATTTTTTTCTTGTAAATTTGTTTAAGTTCTTTGTGGATTCTGGATATTAGCCCTTTGTCAGATGGGTAGATTTTAAAACTTTTCTCCCATTCTGTAGATTGCCTGTTCACTCTGATGGTAGTTTCTTTTGCTGTGCAGAAGCTCTTTAGTTTAATTAGATCCCATTTGTCAATTTTGGCTTTTGTTGCCATTGCTTTTGGTGTTTTAGTCATGAAGTCCTTGCCCATGCCTATGTCCTAAATGGTATTGCCTAGGTTTTCTTCTAGGGTTTTTATGGTTTTAGGTCTAACATTTAAGTCTTTAATCCATCTTGAATTAATTTTTGTATAAGGTGTAAGGAAGGGATTCAGTTTTAGCTTTCTACGTATGGCTAGCCAGTTTTCCCAGCATCATTTATTAAATAGGGAATCCTTTCCCCATTTCTTGTTTTTGTCAGGTTTGTCAAGATCAGATGGTTGTAGATGTGTGGTATTATTTCTGAGGGCTCTGTTCTGTTCCTTTGGTCTATGTCTCTGTTTTGGTACCAGTACCACACTGTTTTGGTTACTGTAGCCTTGTAGTATAGTTTGAAGTCAGGTAGCATGATGCCTCCAGCTTTGTTCTTTTGGCTTAGGATTGTCTTGGCAATGTGGGCTCTTTTTTGGTTCCATATGAACTTTAAAGTAGTTTTTTCCAGTTCTGTGAAGAGAGTCATTGGTAGCTTGATGGGGATGGCACTGAATCTATAAATTACCTTGGGCAATATGGCCATTTTCATGATATTGATTCTTCCTATCCATGTGCATGGAATGTTCTTCATTTGTTTGTGTCCTCTTTTATTTCGTTGAGCAGTGGTTTGTAGTTCTCCTTGAAGAGGTCCTTCACATCCCTTGTAAGTTGGATACCTAGGTATTTTATTCTTTTTGAAGCAATTGTGAATGGGAGTTCACTCATGATTTGGCTGTCTGTTTGTCTGTTATTGGTGTGGATAGAAATGCTTGTGATTTTTGCACATTGATTTTGTATCCTGAGACTTTGGTGAAGTTGCGTATCAGCTTAAGGAGATTTTGGGCTGAGACAATGGGGTTTTCTGAATATACAGTCCTATCATCTGCAAACAGGGACAATTTGACTTCCTCTTTTCCTAATTGAATATCCTATATTTCTTTCTCCTGCCTGATTGCCCTGGCCAGAACTTCCAACACTATGTTGAATAGGAGTGGTGAGAGAGGGCATCCCTGTCATGTGCCAGTTTTCAAAGGGAATGCTTCCAGTTTTTGCCCATTCAGTATGATATTGGCTGTGGGTTTGTCATAAATAGCTCTTATTATTTTGAGATATGATCCATCAATACCTAGTTTATTGAGAACTTGTAGCATGAAGAGCTGTTGAATTTTGTCAAAGGCCTCTTCTGCATCTATTGAGATAATCATGTGATTTTTGTCTTTGGTTCTGTTTATATGATGGATTAGGTTTATTGATTTGTGTATGTTGAACCAGCCTTGCATCCCAGGGATGAAGCCCACTTGATCATGGTGGATAACCTTTTTGATGTGCTGCTGGATTCGGTTTGCCAGTATTTTATTGAGGATTTTCACATCGATGTTCATCTCAGGGATATTGGTCTAAAATTCTCTTTTTTGTGTGTGTCTCTGCCAGGCTTTGGTATCAGGATGATGCTGTCCTCATAAAATGAGTTAGGGAGGATTCCCTCTTTTTCTATTGATTGGAATAGTTTCAGAAGGAATAGTACCAGCTCCTCTTTGTACTCCTCGTAAAATTCGGCTGTGAATCCATCTGGTCCTGGACTTGTTTTGGTTGGTAGGCTGTTAATTATTGCCTCAATTTCAGAGCCTGTTATTGGTCTATTCAGGGATTCAACTTCTTCCTGGTTTAGTCTTCGGAAGGTGTATGTGTCCAGGAATTTATCCATTTCTTCCAGATTTTCTAGTCTATTTGTGTAGAGGTGTTTATAGTATTCTCTGATGGTAGTCTGTATTTCTGTGGGATCGGTGGTGATATCCCCATTATCATTTTTTATTGTGTCTATTTGATTCTTCTCTCTTCTTCTTTATTAGTCTTGCTAGCAGTCTATCAGTTTTATTGATCTTTTCAAAAAACCAGCTCCTGGATTCATTGATTTTTTTGAAGATTTCCTTCAGTTCTGCTCTGATCTTAGTTATTTCTTGCCTTCTGCTAGCTTTTGAATGTGTTTGCTCTTGCTTCTCTAGTTCTTTTAATTGTGATGTTAGGGTGTCGATTTTAGATCTTTCCTGTTTTCTCTTGTGGGCATTTAGTGCTATAAATTTCCCTCTACACACTGCTTTAAATATGTACCAGAGATTCTGGTATGTTGTGTCTTTGTTGTCATTGGTTTCAAAGAACATCTTTATTTCTGCCTTCATTTCGTTATGTACCCAGTAGTCATTCAGGAGCAGGTTGCTCAGTGTCCATGTATTTCAGCAGAATTGAGTGAGTTTCTTAATCCTGAGCTCTAATTTGATTGCACTGTGTGGTCTGATAGACAGTTTGTTATAATTTCTGTTCTTTTACATTGCTGAGGAGTGCTTTACTTCCAACTATGTGGTCAATTTTGGAATAAGTGCAATGTGGTGCTGAGAAGAATGTATATTCTGTTGATTTGGGGTGGAGAGTTCTATAGATGTCTATTAGGTCCGCTTGGTGCAGAGCTGAGTTCAAGTCCTGGATATCCTTCTTAACTTTCTGCCTCATTGATCTGTCTAATGTTGACAGTGGGGTGTTAAAGTCTCCCATTTTTATTGTGTGGGAGTCTAAGTCTCTTTGTAGGTCTCTAAGGACTTGCTTTATGAATCTGGGTGCTTCTGTATTGGGTGCATATATATTCAGGATAGTTAGCTCTTCTTGTTGAATTGATCCCTTTACCATTATGTAATGGCTTTCTTTGTCTCTTTTGATCTTTGTTGGTTTAAAGTCTGTTTTATCAGAGACTAGGATTGCAACCTCTGCTTTTTTTTGTTTTCCATTTGCTTGGTAGATCTTCCTCTATCCCTTTATTTTGAGCCTATGTGTGTCTCTGCCCATGAGATGGGTTTCCTGAATACAGCACACTGATGGATCTTGACTCTTTATCCAATTTGCCAGTCTGTGTCTTTTAATTGGAGCACTTAGCCCATTTACATTTAAGGTTAATATTGTTATGTGTCAATTTGATTCTGTCATTATGATGTTAGCTGGTTATTTTGCTCGTTAGTTGATGCAGTTTCTTCCTAGCATTGATGGTCTTTACAATTTGGCATGTTTTTGCAGTGGCTGGTACCAGTTGTTACTTTCCATGTTTAGTACTTCCTTCAGGAGCTCTTGTAAGGCAGGCCTGGTGGTGACAAAACCTCTGAACATTTGCTTGTCTGTAAAGGATTTTATTTCTTCTTCACTTATGAAGCTTAGTTTGGCTGGATATGAAATTCTGGGTTGAAAATTCTTTTCTTTAAGAATGTTGAATATTGGATCTTGGCCATAATTCTGAGTTGAGCTAATCTTAATAGTTAGGCAATGAGCCACCTCATCAGAGTTACAGTGGGTTCCTGCATTTTGGCAAAATTTACTTAGATCGACAACTAATACCAACTTACAAACTTTCCTCCACAGTCTGCATTGCTCTCTAAATGGCAAAGCTGTTTAACTTATGCTAGAGAAAATTTGATTTGGTGTATTAATGTTCATCTGCTTCATTGATTGTTCAGCCTTCTTTCTCTAGAGCCACTTTTCTTCCTGGAGCTTTGTAATATTACCCATCATCATACACACTTTGTTAATAAGCAATATTCTCCTGAGCCATTATTAGAAACAATAGTATGAAATGAGTAAATAATTCCAAAATTATACTAAAAATCCAGAGCAACTGGTAGTGCAGAACCATGTGTATTTACATGGAAAGTAAATCACACAGCAGTATGTGAGTATGGGGAGATGAATGTTCTTGTTTAAATCAGGTGTTACTGAATTGCTAACACTTCTGTGTTACTAACTTGCTAACACTTCAGTGATCACGTGATCCCACAAATGGATTCCCTCCAGCACCACCTTACATTGAGGCTTCCACACCCCATTTTTCTCTTAGTCTCTGGCTGGTTTTAACTCTTCTCTAAACCTATTGGTTAAGCCTTTAGAACTTTCTTTTGATATGCTTCCCTTTGCCCTATCCTCCCATTTCAAATCCTGAGTAAGAAGAAAACAAATAAATAAACACAACGACTACAAAATAGCTCTGTAGATAAGTTTGACTGGTCCCTGATGAGCTCACATTCAACAGTACACCTGAACTCCATCCAGCAATTATCATTCTCAAAGGCTCCTAAGCCTTAATAAGCCATCCTCAAAACTCCACATGATTTGTCCTTATTAATGAAATTTTAAAATTCTTCCTTTCTGTTTACTTACCTGGCAATGTTTCTGAAAATTCAGAGCCCTGGCTGTTCAACATTCTTTTCAGTGTTGAACCAGATGCTCACTAAACTCCATCTCATCTTCTGTAACTTAAAATTTATAGGAAAAAAAAAAGTGTTCATCTAATAAGATACTTTGGGAGGCCGAGGCGGGTGGATCATCTGAGGTCAGGAGTTCGAGACCAGCCTGGCCAACATGGTGAAACCCCATCTTTACTAAAAATACAAAAAATCAGCCAGGCTTGGTGGTGGGCACCTGTAATCCCAGCTACTTGGGAGGCTCAGGCAGTAGAATCGCTTGAATCCAGGAGGCAAATGTTGCAGTGAGCCAAGATTGCACCATTGTACTCCAGCCTGGGCAACAAGAGCAAAACTCAGTCTCAAAAAAAAAAAAAAAAAAAAGAAGATACTTGAAATTAGATGGAAAAAAAAGTCTTCCAAATCCTACCAACCTTAACAAAGTTACTTTAGTTTGTATACATCTTGGGATATTTTGCTTGCTTCCTTGCTTTTTTCCTTTCTTTTTTT
The DNA here is from genome assembly GCF_000001405.40 of Homo sapiens. Classification (NCBI taxonomy): domain Eukaryota; kingdom Metazoa; phylum Chordata; class Mammalia; order Primates; family Hominidae; genus Homo; species Homo sapiens. The sequence continues at coordinate 232,077,082 of NC_000001.11, read as the reverse complement.
TTTTTGAGATGGAGTCTTGCTCTGTCACCCAGGCTGGAATGCAGTGGTGCAATCTCGGTTCACTGTAACCTCCACCTCCCGGGTTCAAGGGATTCTCCTGCTTCAGCCTCTCAAGTAGCTGGATTACAGGCATGCACCATCACACCTGGATAATTTTGTATTTTTTAGTAGAGACGGGGTTTCACCATATTGATCAGGCTGGTCTCAAACTCCTGACCTCAGGTGATCCACTCATCTTGGCCTCCCAAAGTGCTGGGATTACAGGCTTGAGCCACCGCACCTGTTTAACTTATGCTACAGAAAATTTGATTTGGTGTATTAATGTTGATCTGCTTCATTGATTATTCAGCCTTCTTTCTCTAGAGCCACTTTTCTTCCTGGAGCTGGCTGATATTTTTCCTATGTAGATTTTTTATAACTATAATCAGAGTGTACAAATAATTTAATATGTCTCTTTTTATTTAATACTATATGAACATTTCTCATGTTGTATCAAAGTTTGTGAAATATAACACGTAATGACCAATGTATTATTTCATTAAGTGAGTTAACTGTAATTTACATAACTACGCCTATATTTCAATTATTTGGGTGACTCCTAACTTTCATTTGCTACTATAATAACTTGGTACATGCATATTTTTTCTACATTAGATAATTTGAGTAAGATGCATTCTTAGAAATAATATTTTTTTGGCTGGGCACAGTGGCTCTTGCCTGCAATCCCAGCACTTTGGGAGCCCTAGGCAGAAGGATAGCTTGAGATCAGGAGTTCAAGACAAGCCTGGGCAACATAGCAAAACGTTTCCCCCTGAGCCAACGTCTACAGAAAATTTAAAAATTATCCAGGCTTGGAGGTGGGTGCCTGTAGTCCTAATTACTTGGGAGGCTGAGGCAGGAGGATCACTTGAGCCCAAGACTTCAAGGTTGCAGTGAGATGTGATCATGCCACTACACTCCAGCCTGGGCAACAAGGGACACCCTGTCTGTAAAAGAATGAAAACTAAAAATAATAATATTTGGGGGACAATAAGAGACGCTTATTTTTGTAGCTTTTGATAGACCTTACAAAACTTTTCTAAAATGATTGTACTGTAAGCCATGAGTAACTAATATGAGTTTATCCCCCCGTCATTTATAAATTTACAACTGAAAAAATATGAAATGCCATTTTTAGACCTTAGACAACAGGCAGCATAGGTCTGTGATTCCTAATAGAAGGGGCCAATTGAGGTGAGCCTCACAATCACTCCAATCTCACTTTCTGGATGGTAGTGAATAGGAAACAAAGCTTGAACAGAGCATAGTGATTTCACTGAACTGAGAAGACAGGTATTGGAATCTGGAGTACTGAAGCAGCTAGAATTTGCAGAGGAGGGTAAAAGAGAGAAGAGAGCTGTGGGAAGACTGAACTCTAGAAAACTGTACAGGAATATTCCTAAAGCTTTGGTTAACTACTAAGTATTCATGTACAGAGCAAGAAACTACTAGTTCTAGCAAGTAACAACCTTTTGAGATCGAACCACTAAAGAGAGAATATCTACTTGGAAGCTGTGAAATGAACATCTGCTAGATTTTGCACAAGCAGGGAGACATGCAAGACCTCCAGCCAGAGTGTAGATACCTCCTTGAATGCCGTGAGCATTCAATAGAGACTCCAGCAAAATCATATCATAGGAGTAAATTAATCTAGCTCTAGGGAAAAAGTTGTTTTAGACCCACCCTAACAAAGTTTTAAAAGCACTCCTTAATAGGATAAAATTTATCTCCAAGAGTAAATTAACAGTCTGCCAGAACGAAAGTTGACACTTATTAAGGATAACAAAAAAAATCTAGACACCAAACAACAGAGCATTTATAATGCCCAGCATATTACAAAAACACTGTCAGATATGTACAGAAACAATTAAAGGTGAAAAATAAGAAGAAAAACATGTGTTAATAAAAAATTATCCTGAAATGACAGAAGTGTTTAAATTAATAGATAATATTATAATTATGATAAAGGATTATTACAAATACAATAAAGGATTTAAATGAAAATGTAAAAATAATAAGAGAATAAATAGGACTCAGGAGAGAAATGAGACCCATAAAAATAGAAATTTTAGAACTGAATAATACAACATTTAAAATAAAAATTTATTTCATGGGCTTAATGGCAGATTAAACACAGCAGAAGGAAGGAACAGTGAATTTGAACTCAGGGTTAGGAAAACTATCCAAACTAAAGCAAAACTAAAGCATTTATTTTTTTAAATGCTGGTTAAACAATGAAGAGGGACTAATTAAACTGTAGGAAAATAGTAATAAGATTAAAATATATGCAATTGGAGTACTAAAAGAAGAAATAGACATGGGAGAGAAAAATATTTGAAGATGTTATGATCAAATATTTCCTAATTTAGATGAAAGATTCAAGAATATCAACAAAACTCAAGCAAGATAAACATTGAAAACCACACCAAAGCACATCATTCTCAAACTGCTAAAAACCAATCACGAAAATTAAATATTAAAAGCAACTAGAAGAAAAAAGATGCATTAAACTCACTTGAGACACAATAAGAATGGTTGCTAACTTATCAGAAACAGGGCAAGTCAAAAGATGATGCAATGATATTTAAATTGCTGTAAGGAAAAAAACTTTCAATCTAGAAATCCAGCAAAAACATCCTTCAAAAATGAAGGTCACCAGACCAAGATGTAGTAAATGCACTTCTTCCTACTCTTCCCACCAAGTTCTTGTAGAACCCAAACCAAGCAAAAAACCCACCACCACTAATAACAAAAACTCTGAATATCACATATAAAACAAATCTGAGAAGACTTTGAAAGGTGGAGAGAAGAAAACAGACCAGCATGAGATCTCAGACCCTAAATAATGACATGGTAGTGAGTCCTTGGTTTCCTCCCCCACTTATATATCCTATATCAGGTGCTGAAGAAGTAGGTAATGTGAAAACATAAAACTAGAAAAGACAAAAAGGAGCCTCAAGAAAAATCTGCTGTGTCTAGCCAAAGGACCAAGAAAGGGGGAACATAGGAAAACAGAAAACCTTTAGACAAAAATTGCACTACCGCAGCCTCCTACCCCTGCTGGAGTGCTCTCAGAATGGACTGAGTGAGGAGCCAGTAATTTCATTTCTATCAGCAGTAATCAAACACCCCCATACCTGCTATCACTGGGGAATATTATAGGGATTCTGAACCCTCAGTCTGCAGTAACGAAGTGCCCCCTCACCATCCTTGCCTGGAGTAATGTTAGAAGAGGCCATATGGGAAGCCAGAACTTTCACCACCATCCAGAATGTTCCTGAACAACCACCCTTATGTAACTGACATTAAGAAACACTGCATCCAGCAACTGTAGAAAACAGTCTTTCCAAGCGTATGTGAAACATACATGAAGATTGACCATATGCTGAGCCATAAAATAAGTCTGACCATGCCTAAAAAGATTGAAATTAATCTTCCTCAATCAAAAAATTAAATAAGAAATCAGTAACAAAAAGAACTCCAGAAAAATCCCCAAGTATTTGGAAATTAAGCAACACACTTCTAAACAACAAATAGATCAAAGAAAAAATTAAAAGGTAATTAGAGAATATTTTGAACTTAATAGCACATATCAAAATTTATAGATTGCAGTTGGAGGGAAATTTATAGCTCTAAATGCTTATATTAGAAAAGACGAAGGAATTTAAACCATAGGTTTAAACTGTAAATTTAAAATCCATTTTTAGAGGCAAGAAGAAGAGCAAATTAAATCAATGTAAGTGGAAAAATGGAAATTAAAAAGAAATCAGTGAAATAGAAAACACAAGATCAATAGAGAAAAGTAACAAAACCAAAGTTATTTCTATGGAATTGTTAATGCAGTGATTAGTAATCTCTTAGTTAGAAAGAGAAAAAAACAGAGAAAACCTAACACTGGAGGTTCCAGATTTAGAAAACAACTACTCCTAGACCTAAGAAATGAGATAGACAGCAACACAATAATAGTGGGGGACTTAAATACTCTACTGACAGCACTAGACAGGCCATCAAGACAGAAAGTCAACAAAGAAACAATGGATATAAACTATACCCTAGAATAAACAGACATATATATTTACAGAACATTCATCCCAACAACTGCAGAATATACATTCTTCTCATCAGCACATGGAACATTCTCCAAGATAGACCATATGATAGGCCACAAATCTCCATAAATCTAAGAAAATCAAAATAATATCAAATATCTTCTCAGACCACAGTGAAATAAAACTGGAAATAACTTCAAAAAATCCTCAAAACTCTACAAATACATGGAAATTAAATAATCTGCTCTTGAGTGATCTTTGGGTCAACGATGAAATCAAAATGGGAATTTAAAAATTCTTTGAACTGAACAATAATAGTGACACAACCTATAAACCTCTGGGATACAGCAAAAGCAATACTAAGAGGAAAGTTCATAGCATTAAATGCCTACATCAAAAAGTCAGAAAGAGCACAAATAAACACCTTAATGTCACACCTCAAGGAACTAGAGAAACAAGATCTAAACCCAAACCCAGTAGAAGAAAAGAAATAACAAAGATCAGAGCAAAACTAAATGAAATGGAAACCAAAAAAATAAAAATACAAAAAATAAATGAAACAAAAAGCAGGTTCTTTGAAAAGATAAACAAAATTGATAGACCATTAGTGAGATTAACCAACAAGAGAGATCTGAATAAACTCAATTAGAAATGAAACTGGATATACTACAACCAATACCATAGAAATACAAAAGAGTGGCTGGGCGTGGTGGCTTATGCCTGTAATCCCAGCACTCAGGGAGGCCAAGGCGGGGGGGATCACCTGAGGTCAGGAGTTCGAGACCAGCCTGACCAACATGGAGAAACCCTGTCTCTACTAAAAATACAAAAAATTAGCCTGGCGTTGTAGCACGTGCCTGTAATCCCAGCTACTTGGGAGGCTGAGGCAAGAAAATGGCTTGAACCCGCGAGGCAGAGGTTGCAGTGAGCCGAGATGGCACCATTGCACTCCAGCCTGGGCAACAACAGCAAAACTCCATTTCAAAAAAAAAAAAAGAAATACAAAACAGCATTTAAGGCTACTATGAACACCCTTACATGCACAAACTAGAAAATCTAGAGGAGATGGATAAATTCCTGTAAATATAACAACCCTCTAGGTTAAACTGGGAAGAAATAGAAACCGTGAACAGATCAATAACAAGCAGTGAGATTGAATCAGTAATAAAAAAAAATTGCCTCCTGGCTAACACAGTGAAACCCCGTCTCTACTAAAAATACAAAAAATTAGCCGGGCGAGGTGGTGGGTGCCTGTAGTCCCAGCTACTAGGGAGGCTGAGGCAGAGAATGGCGTGTACCCGGGAGGCAGAGCTTGCAGTGAGCCAAGATGGCGCCACTGCACTCCAGCTTGGGCGACAGCGAGACTCCGTCTCAAAAAAAAAAAAAATTGCCAACAAAACAGTCCAGGACCAGATGGATTGACAGCTGAATTCTATCAGACATTCAAAGGAGAATTGATACTAATCCTACTGAAACTATTCCAAAAGATAAAGAAGGAATCCTTCCTAAATCATTCTATGACGCTAGTATCACCCTAATACCAAAACTAGGAAATAACATAACAAAACAGAAAACTGCAGGCCAATATTCCTGATGAGCATTAATAAAAAAAAATCCTCAACAAAATACTAGTTAACCGAATCCAATATTATATAAAAAAGATAACATATCATGATCAAGTGGGTTTCATACCAGGGATGCAGGGATGGTTATGCAAGTCAACAAATGTGATACATCACATAAACAGAATTAATTAACAAAAACCCATAGAATCATCTCAATAGACAGAAAAAGCATTTTATAAAATCCAGCATCCCTTTATGATAAAAACCCTCAGTGAAATAGGCATATAAGGGACTTACCTCAAAGTAATAAAAGCCATATATGACAAACCCACACCCAACAAGGGGAAAAGTTGAATGCATTCCCCTGAGAACTGAAACAAGACAAGGATGCCCATTTTCACCACTTCTATTCAACATAGTACTGGAAGTCCTAGCCAGAGCAATCAGACCAGACAAGAGAAAGAAAGAAACGGCATCTCAATTAGAAAAGAGGAAGTCAAACTGTTGCTTTTTGGTGATTATATGACCATATACCCAGAAAACCCTAAAGATTTATCCAAAAAGCTCTTAGATCTGATAAACTAATTCAGTAAGGTCTCAGGATACAAAATCAAGGTACACAAGTCAGTAGCACTGCTATACACCAACAATGACCAAGTTGAAAATCAAATGAGGCACTCAATCTCTTTTATAACAGCTGCAAAAACAAAATAAAACAAAAAACACTTAGGAATATAGCTTAACAAAAGAGGTGAAAGATCTCTACAAGAAAAACTACAAAACACTGCTGAAAGAAAACATAGAGTACGCAAACAAATGTAAACACATTCCATGCTCATGGGTAGAATCAATATTGTGAAAATGACCATACTGCCCAATGCAATCTACAGATTCAATGCAATTCCCATCAAAAATCATCATTCTTCACAGAACTAGAAAAAATAATCCTAAAATTCATCTAGAACCAAAAAAAAAATCCTGCATAGCCAAAGCAATACTAAGCAAAATGAACAGATCTGGAGGCATCATATTACTAGACTTCAAAGTATACTATAAGGTTATACTTACCAAAACAGCATGGTACTAGCATAAAAATAGGCAAGTAGAGCAAAGGAACAAAATAGAGAATCCAAGAATAAAGCCAAATACTTACAACCAACTGATCTTTGACAATGCATATAAAAACATAAATTGGGGAAAGGACATCCTACTCAATAAACGGTGCTGAGAAAACTAGCAAGCCACATGTAGAAGAATGAAACTGGATTCTCATCTCTCACCTTATACAAAAATCAACGCAAGATAGATCAAAGACTTGAATCTAAAACCTGAAACCATAAAAATTCTAGAAAATAACATCAGAAAAACTCTTCTAGACATTGACTTAGGCTAAGAGTTCATGACCAAGAACTCAAAAGCAAATGCAACAAAAACAAAAATAAATAAATAAATGGGACTTAATTAAACTAAAAAGGTTCTGCCTAGGAAATGAAATAATCAGCAGAGTAAACAGACAGGTGGGAGAAAATATTTGTAAATGACGCATCTGACAAAGGACTAATATCCAGAATCTACAAAGAACTCAAACAAATCAGCAAGAAAAAACAAACAAACAAACAATCCCCGCCGGGTGCGGTGGTCGGTGGCTCATGCCTGTAACCCCAGCACTTTGGGAGGCCAAAGCAGGCAGATCACTTGAAGTCTGGGGTTTGAGACCAGCCTGGCCAACCTAGTGAAACCCCATCTCTACTAAAAATACAAAAATTATCTGGGTGTGGTGGTTCATGCCTGTAGTCCTAGCTACTCAGGAGGCTGAGGTGGGAGAATCACTTGAATCTGGTAGGCAGAGGTGGCAGTGAGCCGAGATCATGCCACTACACTCCAGCCTGGGTGATAGAGACCCAGTCTCAAAAAAAATAAAAATATAATATAATAAAAAGAATACCATCAAAAAGTGGGCAAATGACATGAATAGACAATTCTATTTTTCTATGAAAAGATGCTCAACATCACTAATTATCAGGGAAATGCAAATTAAAACCACAATGCAACACCACCTTACTCCTGCAAGAAAGGCCATAATTTAAAAATCAAAAAACAATAGATGTTGGTGTGGATGTGATGAAAAGGGAACACTTTTATACTTCCGGTGGGAATGTAAACTAGTACAACCACTATGGAAAACAGTATGGAGACTTCTTAAACAACTAAAAGTAGAACTACCATTCGATCCAGCAATCCCACTACTGGGTATCTACCCAAAGGAAAAGAAGTCATTATATGAAAAATACACATGTGCACAGTTCCCAGTTGCAAAGATATGGAACCAACTTAAGTCCTCATCAACCAACGAGTGGATAAAGAAGATGTAGTATATATATTATGGAATGCTACTCAGCCATAAAAAGAAATGAAATAATGTCTTTTGCAGCAACTTGGATAGAGTTGGAGGCCATTATTCTAAATAAAGTAACTCAGGGATGGAAAACTAAATATTGTGTGTTCTCATACATACAGTGTGTATGATAATGTTCTCTGTTATAAGTGGGAGTTAAGATATGAGGCTGCAAAGGCATAAGAATAATATAATGGACTTTGAGGACTCAAGGGGGAAGCTTGTGAGGGGGCTGAGAGATAAAAGACTACATATTGGGCAGAGTGCACAGAGCTTGGGTAACAGATACACTAAAATCTCAGAAATCACCACTAAAAAACTTATCCATGTAACCAAAAACCACCTGTACCCCAAAAACTGTTGAAATAAAAATGAACTTTTTTTAAAAAAGGAATGTTCTGTATCTTGATAGGGGGTGGATACAGGGAGTATGTGGTTTGTCAGAAATCACTGAGACTTGTACATGTCACTGTATGTAAATTAAACCCCAATAAAATAATCAAGCTACAAAAAAGGAAATTCAAACTCTCCTTCCACAAAAAACAAACATCAAAATAATGATTTACCAAATTATTAGGTATTTTACAAATTAAGAAAATTTGCAAGCACTTAATAGATGTAAGTAATATTTTTATTTTATAAATAAATATTATAAATCAACAAAAGCAAATTCTCTCCAAGAAAAAAATAAGTAGAAGCTATGAAAATCAATTTATAAAAAAAATGATATCCTTTTGGTAACTGTCTCAAAGTCACACAATTACTTTGTTGAAGAACAAGAACTCAAATTTAGATTTCCTGATTCCTTTTCTGTTACACCGAGAGAACAGAGATTGTATCAACAAATGCTGAAAACACTTAAGGGCATGATATTCTCAGAATTATAATAATAATAATTCTCTCCAAATAGATGACATGGTTATCAATAGAATGTTCTTCTATTTTTAAATTAATAAAATTCAAATAATTCTAAAGTAAGACAATTCTGGGAGAAAATTTTAAAAATTGACAGAAGACAGTAAGTTACAAATACATTACAATGCAGTTATAATTAAAGTGTACTGGTGCAAGAATAGACAAATAACTTATTAGGGCAGAATACATACTTTTTTTGTATAGAACTTTTAAAAGGAAAGAGAATATTAGTTAATTAATTACATTGAGATAAGCAAGTAATTTGGGAAAAATCAATTTAACGTCTCACTACACTATGCGCTAGTATAAAGTTTTGATATAAATATTTAAAAGTGAAGAAAATAGTATCAAATATAAGTGAAATATTTGAGATTAACATTCTGGACACAGAAGGAATTGAAAACAATCTTTAAGGAAATGAGACAGATGGAGAAATTTTGATTTGTTAGGTTATGATGAACTTCTACTGATTGCTGATAAATTCAAAGGTGAAAACAAGAGGCACATTTTGCTGTGGAAAAGTTTATTTTTAAGTAAGATTCTAATTTCAATTGAAGTATAATATTTATACAGAAAGATGCACAAATCTTAGGTATGCAGTCATTAATCCCTACTCAAAAGTAACCTAACCTATATTCCAACTTCTAATACCACATATTAGGTTTGACTATTTTCAAGCTTTATATACAGGCAATCACATGGTATATATTATTTTGTGCCTTACTTAGTTCCATCAACACTATGTAAAATTCTTTCATGTTATTATATGCAGCAGTAATTCATTTTCATGGCTGTATAGCATTCATTCTGCTGTTTGCCATTTTGATCTATTAAAGTAATGCTTACAAAAACGTTGTACATGTCTTTTGGCACACATATGCACAAATGTCTATTGGTATACACTTATGATAGAATTGTTGGTTTATAAGGAACATATATTATGATGTGTCTAGGTAGATACACCAAACAGCATATGACCCCACTGTTCTATATTCTATACTTGGTACTCCCTCCACCTCTTTTAGCCATTCAGAAATGGAGGAATGGGAGGTATTATACTATCATATTGTGATTTTATATTCCATTTCTTCAATTAATTATGATGTTGAGCTATTTGGTACCATATTTTGTGAAGTAGCCATTAAAGTTTTTGGCCCATTTTTAAATTGAGTTGCCTTTTTCTTAATGATTTGAGGAGTTTTAAAAAATATTTCGAATGTGAGTTCTTTGTCATTTACATATACTATAGATATCTTTTTTTCAGTGGATTTCTCATTTCACTTCCTTTCTTTTTTTTTTTCTTTTTGGGCAGTCTCACTCTATCACACAGGCTGGAGTGCAGTGGCATCATCTCAGCTCAATGCAACCTCCATCTGTTGGGTTCAAGTGATTGTCATGACTCAGCCTCCTGAGAAGCTGGGATTACAGGCACATGCCACCAGATCTGTCTAATTTTTGTATTTTTAGTACAGATGGGGTTTCACCATGTTGGCCAGGCTGGTCTCAAACTCCAGATGTCAGGTTATCTGCCCGCCCTGGCTTCCCAAAGTGCTGAGATTACAGGCATGAGCCACTGCGCCCAGCCTTCATTTCACTTTCTTATTACTGTCATTTTATTAACAGATGTTCTAAATTTTAACAAGTCCAATTTGTCAGTCCTTTACACTTTGCATATTTAGATCCACATTCCACCTGGAATTTAATTTTTTTTGTATGGTGTGAGGTAGGATTCAAGTTGAGTTATTTCAAATACAGTTATTCATTCAGCACAGCCACATTTATTGAAAAGAATTTTCTTCCTCCCTGCATTGCAGGAACATCTTTGTTGTAAATAAGTGACCATATATGTACAGCTTTTTTTCTGTTCTTTTTGCTTACTTACTGTCTTTGCCCAACACTATGCTATTTTAATTACTGTACCATTATAATAAATTTTGATATCTGATAGTGTAAATTCTACCTCAATATTATTTTTTATCTTCTTAGCTTTTTAAATTGCTATATACATATGTGTGTGTGTGAGAGAGAAAGTGAGCCAGAGAGAAAGTGAGAATCACTTTTAAACTTTTACCCCCAAAAAACCCACCTTCTAGGTTTTTTACTATGATGGCATTGAATCTATAGGTAAATTGTAGGAGAAATTACATCTTAAAATACCGAGCCTTCCACTTTATGAAAATCGTATATCCTTCTGCTTCCTGCTTATTTATGTCTTCTTTGATTCCTCTCCATAAAGGTAGTTTTATTTTCAGTATAAAGTTCTTGCATGTCTTTAAATACATGTATTTTAAAGATATTTGATTATTTTGTGCTATTTTGAATTCTACCATTTAACTTTTAATTTCTTTAAGTTGCTGGTGTATAGAAATACAAGTGATTTTTGGATATTTGTGTATTCAGTAATATTGTAAAATTCACCTATTAATTATATGTTTTACCTGCATAGATTTTTTTTTATTTTCTATGTGCAGAATCATTGTTTTTTGTGCATAAAACAGTTTTATTTATTTATTTCCTATGTTATACCTTTATTTCATTCTTTTGTCTTATTATATTGGCTAGATTCTACTATAATAGCGGATAAAAGGGGAGATAGTGGACATTCTTGTCTCTTTCCTGATCTTAAGAGAAAAGCCCTCATTATTTCACCATTAAGAACTTTACTGCAGGCTATCAAATTTTTAAAGTATGCTTTTCATCATTCTTGAGGATAACAGAGATTCTGAACCCTCATATTGTCATCTTTCAAATAATGATGAAAAATTACAAAATTATTTAGATAGGTGGTATTAACTCACAGATTTGTTTTGTACACTATCCATTATCCAAAACTTCCCCTTTTTAACTTTTTTATTTGGATTTTTTCCCTTTAGCTATTGCTTCATAATACTTAACATTATAGATTTTGAATATAGATAAATAAAAAACATAACTGAAATCTATCTACTTGGAATTGAAGATTTAGCCAAAGTAGTTGGTTGGAAACCATCAAAATGAGTTTAGTGGAATAGCATTAGATGTCATTTCTTCATAATATTCCCCATTTCTCTGCATTTCTGTGAAAATTCTGTCAACGGTTAAAAGTTCCGAAGGCCTAGCATTGTTCAGTGTCTCTATTTTTCTGAAACATAAATTAATCATCTGGTATGAAAAAAATCACTAAGGAGGGAACACTATTGTGGTGGAGGAAAAATTGACAGTTGAAGAAGAGGAAGATAATTTGGAATTCAAGAATCAAAAAACTCTGGCTACAGTCAGAAAAATAACTTCATAAAAATTTAACTTTGAATTGTCAATTATTTCAGAATTGGAAATAACTTTTTTAGCCTGGTATATATAGCAGATGCCAATAAATGTTTCATTCCCAGAGAGCTAAAAAAATATTTTAAGTCACTATTTACACCACACACTCTATATCTATAGTAGCTAACACAATGACTTTTGTTTCTTTCCTTATCACTGGCATGCGATTGACCGGCTTAAGTCTAATAAACATCTCGCTGAGGCTGAAGACTTCACACTTCAATGCTCTTTGTATCAACTTAATTAGTCTTCTTACCACTAGAACCATCACTTTCATGTACCCATTTTTTACTCACTTTATAAATGAGAAACGGCAAAATGCAAAAAAATAAAAAATAAAAATAAAAAAATTGCATAAGCCGAGACAATCAGCAAAGATGACAAAGGTGCCCAAATGGAGCCACTGGCTGGCAGACACCATGCCCACAGCACCACAGCACCAAGGGGTCCCGTTTTCTGCTAACGTGTCCTGGGACTGGCAGAGTCAGTCGGTGTTCTAAAGATTGTTTAGAACTTGACTGTGCAATATTTGAAGTCCTTTTGTAATTACATGCTACCTTTTACCCTCCTCATTTGAAGTATATACAGATAGGAGAGGCAGGGGAAGCAGTAGCCCAGGGTGAAAAAAGAAGTAATCAGTAAGAAAGAACATAGAAACCAGTAAGAAAGAGGTAGAGCTAGGAAAGTACCAGTGAACTGAGGAAGGAGGCCTTCCTCTGTGATTTAAAGCAGGGAGGATTTCGGCTTTAGCAAACTGAACCTAAATAGGTGTAGATATATAGATGTACATATAAATATAATTATGTACTTATGTTCACATACATGAGTGTATACATACACACATACATGGGGGATGGGGAGAGAAACAGTTGAGTTTTTCCATAGCTTCTTCATAACTCTGTGTCCAAAATATTAAGTATTCCTGCATAACAGGAATTCAAGTGTGTTTTTAAAAATATCCCCCAACTTTTTCTCTGAATTTTAGGTACAATGAACAGGTATTACTCACGAGGTCAGGAGCTCGAAACCAGTCTGGCCAACACGGTGAAACCCCTTCTCTACTAAAAACACAAAAATTAGCCTGGCGTGTTGGCATGCACCTGTAATCCCAGCTACTCGGGAGGCTGAGGCAGGAGAATCACTTGAACCCAGGGGCTGAGGTTGCAGTGAGCCGAGATCGTGCCATTGCACTCCAGCCCCGGTAACAATATGAGACTCTGTCTCGAAAAAAAAAGATTTAAATAGAATTATAAAATCATTCATGAAAAATAAATATAAGTAGGGAGTGTGTTATGTTTTCAAGTAGGAAGACCGTGTTGGGGTGGAGAGATCTTCTCTACCTACACAAATACCCCACAGGAGTCTCTGCTGAAGCTCATGGGCCACAGAGAAGCCTGATTCTCAGGAAGTGCCGATTGCTCCAAGTCAGTACATTATTTAACTTATTCATTTTGAATCAAGTTATATCTGGCTCTAAGTCTGTATTGCATATTGTTTTAATTTTTCTGTATATTATGTCTTGACATGTTGAAAAACTTTATGGAGGAGAGAGACAGCCCTCCCTGAGCCAGCTAATTGTCAGAGCCTAATCCAGCTCCAAACAAGCCTCTGATATGCAAACTAACCAACACACCTCCTCTATCCTGCCCTTGCTCCGCAGGAGGCAATATTCCTCTGCCCTAATCATCCCAGGGCCAGGTGCCAGGCAACTCCCTAGTGTGCCACCCCTATAGCTTAGGGCCCTGTGAAATTCTGCAAAGCAGCCAATCCTAAACTGTTCACCCACCTTGCCTTTTCTCTCCCCGAAAACTCCAGCGAAGGCTCTGACCTAAACTTTCCCCTCAGTCTTGCCTTCTTCCTCCTGACCATCCTAGCGTCTTCCCCATGTGGCTCTGCCTGGCATGGTGTACTTCCTGTCTCTAGAACTGTGAGTATCATGAACTTGTTTTCCTGAGCCTCTCCAGTGTCTCCTCTTGTGACCACAGCTGGCTGACCGTCTCATAAGAGAACACAAAAGGCCAAACACAGTGGCTCATGCCTATAATCCCAACTCTTTGGGAGGTTGAGCAATGAAGAACACTTGAGGCCAGGAGTTTGAGATAAGCCTGGGCAACATAGCAAGACCCTGTCTCTACCAAAAAAAAAAAAAAATTAGGCAGGCGTGGTGGCATGTCTGTAGTCCCAGCTACTGGGGTAGCTGAGGCAGGAAGATTGCTTGAGCTCATGAGTTTGAGGCTACCGTGAGCAATGATTATATCACTGCACTCCAGCCTGGGTAATAGAGCGAGACTGTGTCTCTAAAAAAATAAATACATTGAATAAATAAATACTTTTTAAATAAAAATTACAAAACAAAACCCTCATTTGTCAAATTTGGTAAAAGATTCAATCTCGACTACTTTTTGGGGACCCCTCCCTACTTCCTGCCCCCTTGGGATTTCATGAAAGCCTCCCGGCTAACACAGCCAAGGAAACTAGAGAAGGGCTTCTGCTCTTCAGGCCTCAGAGGCCGCGCTGCCAATGCTCAGGTTCTTGGGCATGTGAAGTTGCGAGAGCGACACCTGCTAATGCCCCCCTCCCCACTCTCCACTTCCAGACTCTGCCACGGGGACATCACTGACTCCTGGCACCCACCACAACCATCCCACCTTGAAGCCCTGCCATCTCCAGGTTCAGAGATCTTCCACCTTCTCCAAGAGAAACTGGAAATCATAGTTTCTGGGAAAATCTCCTCAATATCTTAAAGTTGGCCACCAGTTAAACATCTTATGTGCAATGTGGCTGTCTACATGGCCAGGGGTTGAGTTGGCTTGAACTCAGCCCCCAGTGGCCTGGCAATGCTTCCCGTGAGGGTGTTGTGGCAATTCCACATTCTCTCTTTTCTGCTAATAAGCTGACCCAGCAAAAGCAACAGCACTACTGTTAATTTTTCAGTAACTCATCCTGTTGTGAAAGAAGTATGGGTGCTAACTGCATGTGTTTGAGGTGCCAGGGAACACCAGTCATTATTTCTAAAATGGGAATAATAAAGCCCTTGCCTTCCCGACTTTACAAGGTTGTTGAGAGGTCAAATGAGTTGGGATGCTACAATGCTCTAGACGAATGCATATATCGTAAAGAAGTTGGGTAGTACCAGGTGGAAGAAGAGAACAGACAGGGAGTACAGGGAGAGCCGCTGGGACTATTGTTGCTCAGAGCCACTCTTGTTTCCTTTACATTTATGATACCTGTTTGCAACAGTAAGCACTGCCATTCTATGTAGCCAAACGGGAAAAGGACAGTCTTTTTCCATGTCATGTAGCTTCAGAATTGCCCCTGTACATAAATGGGATGCATTACCTGGAAAGAACCAAACAGTTCTACGTATCAGCATCATGCTTTATAAATGACAATACACTCATGCCTAATATCCTCTTTTCACTATGGAAGGTCAGGCAGCCATAGTGTGTTTGTCCATTTTGCATTGCTATAAAAGAATGCAATTATAGTAATTGCATTAAATGATGCTGAGTAACTTAAGAAAAGAGGTTTATTTGGCTCATAGTTCTGCAGGCTGTACTAGCATGGCACTCACATCTGCTCAGCTTCTCATGAGGCCTCAGGAAGCTTGCAGTCATGGCAGAAGGTGAGTGGGGAGCTGTCATGTCACCTGGGGAGAGAGGGAGCAACAGGAGAGAGGAGGAGGTGCCAGGCTCTTTTTAAACAATCAGCTCTTACGTGAACTAACAGAGTGGGAGCTCACTCATTACCATGAGGACAGCAACGACATATTCATGAGGGATCTGCCCCCAGACTCAAATGCCTCCCACTGCGCCCACCTCAAACACTGGAGGTCACGTTTCAACATGAGATATGGAGAGTCACATTCAAACCATGTTACCAGGTGTGTCCATTCTAGAGTAGAATGCACAGAAGCAGAGACATGTGGCTGATCACAGAGGAGAGAGGACCTTGTATCTGTGGCTTAGCCCTCTGGTGCTCAGACAGATAAATGGAACAGAACTAGAGAAATTAATAAAAGAAATTCAGGATATCATATGCACAGAGGCTTTACTGGCCGTAGTACCACTTTGTGTTTCCTGTTCTTCTTTGTTGTTCTGCTATCATTATTTATTCATGATAACAGGGAATTAGATTGTGTCCTTCAGGGGCAGCCCAACAGATGTGAAATGCAGCAAATGCGAGGGTGTGTGTGTGTAAATGTACCTGAAATGGGTATGGGGACATATAAAAGCTTCACAAATCACAAGACTACCTTATATGTTTTATAAAACTTTAACATGTGCAAAGCGCTTTTTTATGTGTTCTTTCATAAATTATGCATGTTGATGAACATCATAATTCTGTGGGATTGGGCAAGGGGGGAAAGCCCAAGGTGTCTAGGGTTTCACATTGCAAGCACTACCTGGAAGAGTCTGCTCTTTCTGGAAAAGGCCATCAGACCCAAAGAGGACTCTTCTCTGTGCTGCTTCTACTAATCTATTCTAGATCTGTCCCTTCCCCTGAGAAGTGCTGCTGAGGATGAATGGGCCTGTCCGAGGGTCTAAGAAGGACAAACAGGGCAGGCTGGAGGAAGCCACTGACATTGCAAGAGGCACAGATAATGCTGCTTTGGACAACTGCCCAGAGTGGTGCAATCAGCCGGGGCCAAGGGGCCTCTTGCACCAACTGACGTGAATGGCACCTGTTGGAAATTTGCCAACTGTGCATAAACATGCTTCATGCAAACCAGGCTGGCTGGAACCACTTTACGCCCTCCTCTTCCTCCTCTTCCCCTCACCCTGCTTCCACAAACACACCCGGACACACACCGACTTACACACATGCAAACACATTCAGGCCCTGTGTCCTCCCAAAGCATCACCTGGCATGGACAGCTGGCTAGCTCTCAGGAGGGAGAGTCAGAATAGAACAGAGCAGATGCTAGCCATAGGAAAATGCTGAAGGAGAAACACAGGGCATGCTGAGCCACGGCAGGAAGAAGGAAAGGTGCTTTAGAAACTGCAGTAGCAATCGTGAAGTAGTACCTGAATCTGCATTGCATACCAGCTTTCAGCCAGAGATCTCAGAGAGCTTTACTAGCATCATTAGAGAGGTTAGCATTTCCATTTTGGATGTGGGAATGCACCAAGGGAAAACGGCTGGATCCATCTGACCAAGGGCGAGGAGAAATCCTTATGGGTAAAGAGCCCAAGGTTGTTTCTCCATTAGACTGGTTCAGCTGGTTGAGAATCCAGGCTGCACAGTGACCTCAAACATCCCTACCCTGGGCACTCTCAGTGACCCCAGGTTGCAGGGCTTTCCTTTCCATTAATAATGGATCACATGCCACAGAAGGGAGGTCTCTAGTCAAGGGTTTTGTCCTTGGTCCCGTCCTGCTAAATATTTTAAACAATTTTTTTGTGAAAATAAAACCAACCTGATTATCAAATTTGCAGCTGCCAAAAGTTAGGGGAGATGACTCATTTCTTGGATAATGGAATTGCTTTGCAAAAAAACCTCTAACAAGCTGGAATGATCGACCTGAACTAACTTGATAAAATTTAAAAGGAATCAATGGAAAGTCCTAAACTCAGGTTTAGAAAGTCAGCTGCGCTGACACATGACATAGAAAACTAATAATAGCAATCTTTTTGAAAAAGACTTGACATGTTTAGTTGACTCTACAGTTTAGAGAAAAACTTCTAAGAAAGCTAATGCAACCGAAGACACGTTCATAGACATATAGGGTCATGTAGTCATAGAATATTATTACTGAAGGTGACATTAGAAGTCATCATTGCATGATGGAGCAGAAGTCCTTCAAGGTTAAATATAAGACTAGATAGAAAGGATATAACATGGGTTCTATCTTGAGCACCAACTCTAATCAATGGCAAATTGCTGCCTGGAGAACCGCTTTTGAGAAGGATTCTGAGTTCTTATCTGGGCTCAGCAGAAAGAAGGGCTGTGAGAACTGAGTGATTCTGTTGTGGTGTAGAGAGGGAGTCCCAGGGCTACAAACGTAGGAATAGAGAGCTCCATGGGCCTGCCTGCTCAGCCCCATGGAGCTCTCTATTCCAGTGTGTCCTGTTGCAAGCACCTGCAACTTCTGCCTAGGCACTTTCTCTTGATCTGCACATGGGGGAGGCTGGGAGTGCTGTGAAGTAAATCCCTCTGACAGATGAGAGTGGGAAGATAAATATCCCTAACATCCTCGCCCCTTAGAGGGAAAAATTCTCAGGTGTGCTCTGCAGCCTCTCCCACAGTTCACCAGCAAGTTAAGTCTCAGTTGCCCATGGCAGTCACCATTGGATGCCTTTCCAGTCTGTCTCACCTCCCCAGTCCTCCACAGATGCTTCCAGGAATCACCTCCCAAATAAACCACTCACACCTAAATCTTTGTCTCAGGATCAGTTTCTGGGGACACTCACCCAACACAGCTTCTTGTTTGTCATTCTTGATAAAACAAAGAAAACAATAATCAACCCAACACTAGCTGGGCAACATGATCAAGTATAGTGTGAAGCACTAGATCACTGAGAACCTGAGGAGAGAAATCAGGATTATGAAGGGTCTGGTGTCTCTCAGCCAATAAAGAAGAACTCACAGAAAAGGGTGATGATTCTGGGAAGCAGAGAGGGCAGAGGGCAGGAGGCAGTGCTTCAGCTACGTAGAGGCAGTTGAGCATTGAGGTTATCAACACTGAGTTTGGTTTCACAACCCTGAGTATACAGCTCAGAGGTGCCACCTACTAGATATGTAATCTTAGATATGTTTTTTTACCTTTTTAAAACTTCTCTAAACCTTTGTGTCCTTATCTGTAATATAGACATTGTAATCATGTCTACCTCTTGGTGTGACTTTTGTGAATTAAATGTGATAATGCCTGACTCATAGTAAGTACAAAATAAACACTAGCTACATAAGACAAGCAAGACTTCTTTTTAAGCTCTTGAAGGCGTTGTTAGAGCCAGTGTTTCAATATTAAAGGCAATCAGATTCACATTTAAATTAATCAGATCATTATTTTTAAATCATACTGATAATGTGTGTTGTCTGGCAATGAAACTGGCTTCCTTGTGAATGGCCAGGAGGAGGCGAGAGTTGGCTGTGGGTGGGTTTGGGATAGATGCCCCCCTCCCTTGCCCTACTGCCTTCTCCAGCCTCTTTCCCCAGCCTTCTTCCTTACCTCCCCCATTTCCCACCCAAGGCCCTAGACTGTTTAAAATCTCCAGGGACTCCTTTGTTTGCTTTCCTTATAAACATATTCCCGGCAAATCCGTATCTCAAGAGGCTAATTTGGTGCCATCTGGAAAGAGCACTTTCGTCTTCCCCAGCACTTCACCTCCAAGATGCATTTGTACCGAGCCCCAAGGCAAGTGGCTGGGCAGCACAGCTTCGGAGGAACATATGGTGGAGGGAAGCCACCCACGGGGATCCTGGAGAGGAGCTGAAAGCGGACTTCCTCTCTTCACTGATTGAGGTTGTGAACAAAAGGTTCATGAAGACTCCTGCAGCAGGATTGAATAAAACCAGTGTCAGGTGGTCACCCTAGAGCAGGACCCAGCCCATCAGGACGGGGAAGCTCACACTGGCTAGATTTAATTTAAAGTAGACAAGAAACTACCTTCCTTCCTAATCCTCATCCATGCCCCCTCCTCTATGCAGTCTACTTTCACTGTCTCTCCACACTCCACATTGCTACAGGGCCATTTTATTATTACACTCTTTAGAGAGAGGACACACACAACAAACTGTTACTTTATGAGAATATCTAAAACATGAAAAAGGTATTAGCGCTAGATCATACACAAAATACTCCCACCAACATCAAAATTAACAAAGGATTATTGGCATACCATGATGTCAATTCCTCTACACATTTAAGGTTATTACTTATTTTAAAATCACTATATTTGAAAGTAATTTGCAGTTTAGAATTTATCACTTCACAAGAATTCCTGAGTCGGCCCAATGATATTAGATAAAACACAGTCAAACGTAAGGGCATTACTTCCACGCTTCCATTGCTGAAGTAATTTTTTTCCATTTAACAAGCGTTGATTGATTGTCTACATGCCGGACATTGTTTTACGCGCTGGGGATTCAACCTTAAAAAAGACAAAGTCGGCCGAGCACGGTGGCTCACGCCTGTAATCCCAGCACTTTGGGAGGCCGAGGTGGGCGGATCACGAGGTCAAGATCGAGACCATCCTGGTCAATATGGTGAAACCCCATCTCTACTAAAAAACACAAAAATTAGCCGGGCATGGTGACACACGCCTGTAGTCCCAGCTACTCGGGAGGCTGAGGCAGGAGAATCACTTGAACCCAGGAGGCGGAGGTTGCAGTGAGCCGAGATTGCACCACTGCCCCTAGAGCAAAACTCCGTCTCAAAAAAAAAAGACAAAGTCTTTACCCTATGGGGAAATTATTTCAAACATTAAAAAATAATAAATAAAATTCACTGTGGAATGCAATTCCCTAATGATATATTTGCAATGATTCGGGTGGAAACTCTCATAGTCAGAGTACCAACTAGGCCTGCAGAACTCCAAATGCACTAGTCCCAAGTGGCTGCCTTGTCCATTATGTACATTGTTAACTCATAATTAAGGAGAAACAACATGTAGGGAGAATGTGTGAATCCATGCTTTGAGGCCATGTAAGGAAAAGAATAGAGACCACAGAGGTAGTGCACCAAGTCATAATACCCTGGAACTCAAGGATGTGTCTTAATTATTTTTATGTTTCCTGCCCCTAGCATACCATAGGAGCTCAACAAGTATTTATTAAACTGAAAAACCTAACATATAGGGCTGGCATTACAGCCAATTTTGTTTTATCCTTGGCCTTTACTGTTGAATACTGTTTAATTCACTGGTTTGCTCAAATTCCCTTGATGGTGCTTGTGCATGAACAATGCTTACCTGCAGTGAGGCATTCTCTTTTCCCTAGCTTTGTTCTTCCTCATTTTATCCTTTTAAAACTTATTTTTAATTGCAAGATAAGCCAGGGCTATTGCAGAAAAATCAGCAAAACTCAGCATAAAGAAGAAGAAGAAAAAATTCTCTTCTTTTCCCTGCCACCTGGCAATAATCAGTATAAACATTTTGGTAAGTCTACTTCTATATCTTTTGTGATGTATAATTGGAGGAAGAAAAAAATACACATCCCCTTACCAAGTGCCATGGTCAATTTACAGGGATGAATGGGGGACTATATCCCACTGGGAGTTTATCTGGCCCTGGGCCATTTCTGTTTGGCCAGATCTACCTACTGCCCAAAGTTGACCACTGAAAGTCGACGGCTGTGTTGTTGAAAAAGGCACAATGTTAAAGGCTGTTTCCTGTGGTTCAGGGGAGCTTGGGCTGAGCCTGAAAGCAGGAGGCTGAACAAGGCAGAACTGCCATTCTCCCTCATGAGTGTTATCTCCATTACAGGCAGGGAACTTCTGGAAATTATGTTGCATCAAAGAAAATATTTTTGTAATTACTGTGGATTTGAATTGTGAACTCTGTGATGCAAGCCAGCATGTTTTATCCAGTAGATGTCCATTGGAGGGTCACAGAAAGAATCAAGTTGCATAGGTACACCTCAGTGCAGGTGAGAGAGCTCACAGGGTTGGAGGGGGAGGTGGTCAGTGCTGAACTTGAAGTGACAAAGCCCAGCTACTTTAGTGAAGATCCCACCACCTCTATTTACCTCCAGTGATGGTATCTTCACTGAATTGTTTAGAATTGGAGACTAGAGTGGATTACTGAGCTAGGCAGTAGAAGAAAGTAGGGTCCTAATCCTACGAGGTGGCAGGATTTTTCCAAAAGAAAAATATAATTTTTATTACTTAAGATAGAGGAAAGTGGATCTCTTTCCAAGAAAAAAAAAAAAGAGGGCAGATTTCAATACAGGAGGCAAGACTGTGAAAGCGCCCCCATACAAATTTTAACTTCTTGTTTTTCTTCTCTCTTGGACTCCAAGAATAGTCATATTTAGCACCCAGGATAACTTATAGCTACAATCATTCCCTTTCATTTTTTTTAACCTTACAGTCACTCAGGTACAGAGTCACAGGACTTAATGAAGGGGCAGTGAATGAAAATGTGTCCTCCCACATCACCCCTTTGCCGAGGCCAGGGCAGGGTGGCAGTGTATGCAGAGTTGGTCTCTACTCCCAGAGTTCCAGTGATCTCAGATCTTTCTATCCAAGAATACAGTATGACTTTCCATCTGTTTAATTTGGTCCTCATGTCTTCTAGGAGTGTTTCCAAGTTTTCCTTATATAGTTATTAGACATTTCTTGTTAAAATCATATCTAAGTATTTTATACATCTTTTTGTTATTGTAGATGAGGTCTTTGTTTTCATTATATCTTCTAATTGGTTATTATTTCTGTGTATAAAGACTATTAGATTTCTATATGTTAAATTGTTGGCTAATACTTCAAATACGATATGAAATAGTAGTGACTTTATTGCTCCTGACCTTAGCAGGAATGTCTCCAGTGTCTCTCCATCAAATAAGATGCTAGTCTGGGGGCTAACATGGACAGATATTCAGATACTTTTATATTTTTTTATTTAAGAAATATCTGACTTCTATTTTTTTCAGGGTTTTGAATCATAAATGGGTGTCAATTTTGTCAAATATTTTTTCAGCATCTACAGCTACATCATATAGTTTTTTTTCCCTCTCAGATCTAATAATATGTTGAATTACATTAATGAATTTACTGATATTTAACCAGCTTTGCATTTCTGGAATAAGTTCCACTTGGTCATAATATATTATTCTGTATTATTGGAACTAGTCTATTGTCATAATTTTTCTGGAAGCAAACAGTAAGAAGTGTTTTACTATGCGAATTTATCCATCACATTAAAATAAATGAAAAGAAAAAGGAATTAAATGATATGCAATATATTTTTCTCCTTTTATATGCTTGTCCTTAATAATTTTCTAAAGATTACCTCTATGGCTCTTGGATAATTTCAGCTAGCCCTTTGAGCAAACTTATATATAAATGATTGGGTTTTGGAGATTTGAGCACATTTAATTAATCTGAGCAATCTCTAACTGTATTCTTCCCTCACTCAGTATGTGTGGTTTGCAGAATGTTGCTTTTGACATTAATTAGGTTGCTGATATCCAAGGGGGTCTTTGAAAACTCCTGTATTTTCAGTCCCAAAAGTCTGTTTCCTCTTCAGTTAAGAGGAGTCTTTCCTTTTAATCTTGTCCTGAGTCTAATGCACGAAGTGACATATTTCTATTTTTTTGTCTTTTGGGAAACACCTTTCACTTTTCAATTTTGCTGTTATTGTACTTGTTCCTTGGTTAGTTTGTTTCCTTCATTTCCTGTTATTTTTTGATACATTACTGCAATCAATTATTTTCTGTTTCCAAATATTTACTTCCCACTTTTCTTTCTCTTTTTCTTTTCTTTTTGACAGAATCTCACTCTGTCGCCCAGGCTGGAGTACAGTGGGGTGATCTCAGCTCATTCCAACCTCCGTCTCCCAGGCTCAGTTGATTCTTGTGCCCTTAGCCTCCCAAGTAGCTGAGACTGCAGGTGTGTTCCACCACACCCAGCTAATTTTTTTGTGGGTTTGTTTTGTTTTGTTTTGTTTTTGTAGTTTTAGCAGAGACAGGATTTCACCACGTTGGCCAGTCTGGTCTCAAACTCCTGACCTCAAGTGATCCACCTGCCTCGGCCTCCCAAAGTGCTGGGATTAAAGGCGTGAGCCACCATGCCTGGCCACTTCCCACTTTTCTATACTGCCCACTGTTATAGGACTTGTGTACCTCCAATGAGGAGTGTCCATCCTGTTCCATTGATGTTGGCCCTGAGATGTACTTTGACCAGTGGAATGCAAGCAGAGATGCTATATGTCATGTCTGAGCAGAAATGTTGAGCTGTTACAAGTTTCATAATTCATACAGCCCCAAAATGGTTCTAACAGCTTGGGAAGCCTTTTGTTTTTCTCTAATGTTACCACTGTAATGCAAAGCATTTTTGGAGCTCCTCTTTTGGAGTTCACTTCAGAACCATTTTTGAAAACCTTTAATAGCTTCATATCTATTTGTTGAAGGCATATGTATTCATTGAAAACAACCTAAAGTCAACCACAGCCAAGTACATTTTAATGGGTAAGAGCATGAGCTTGGACTAGGGAAGCTCTGTATTCAAAGCATGGTTGTACTATTTAATTTCTGTGGCAATTTATTCAGGATAATCACCTAAAAATGGGAGCAATAACAGTGATAAATATTTTTGGCCACCAGCTTTCATTTCCAATCTCTTCTAACATCTTCCCCATATCACAGGAAAGAACATTTCCCAGCTTACCTTGTCTCCAGGCTTCTTGGAAATGGAATGAGAGGCTCTGATGTGAAATTCGGACAGGGAGACTGAACCCATATTAGCTTGCTGGTGGTGTACAGTAGTGCAGAGATGTGTGGAGCCCAGGCATTACGAGGCTGCACTGTGACCTCAAGGCACTCCCCTTAAACCCACTCACCTTTGTGCTGTAGGTTGATTATGACCATTGGTGAAGGCTTCTTGTAATTTCCTAACATGAGCAGTAGCAGCAATTTCCTGATTCCTCAGGCCACATGGTGAACCTGAAAGTTAGTGGTGGCCTTTCTTAACATTTTGTTCTCTAGTCTTTCTCAATTGGAAATTCCTTATATTAAATCACAATCTGTTTAGAACACTTAACAAGGTTTCCATTTTTCTGACTGATTACTTTTGTCATAGGATTGCTGCCATAAGACTGTCACAGAATTAAATAAAGTAATACATTTAAAATGCTTAAGACAGGGTCTGAAAATATTGCATAGCTATTATTACTATTAGGAAGGTGATCAATATGAACAATATACCCTCAAGTCAAAAAAGGAGGTGACCATCTAGATGAGATTGGTACTCACAGGTGGTATGAAAATTGGATCTGAAGACAATTTCAGAAGAGGAATTAGGCTCCCTAAAATAAGGCTGCCATCACCTGAAAACTCTAAAAAGAAAGATAGTTATTTAAGTGGATGTTTTGATATATTGGTTCTTAAATAATATATTAATTTTTATTTATTTTTGGAGTATTTTGCTCAGGTTTCCCATCTATGCAAGGGAATGTGAAGGTTGTGAACCAGAGGAAGAGAAGCACCTCCTACCTCCTCCTCCTCTGTCTCCTCCTTTTCCTCCTCCTCCTCCGGAAACCCCAGACACAAGGAAGAACTGAATCGACCAACACCTTCTTGTATTTCCATGAATTTTTCCTTAGGTCCAACAACACCAGACAAAAATCCAACATCACTGACATTTTAGGAAGGGACTTACCTTATTCACATTCCAGGTGGGTCTTCAGGCTTCCTAGACAACAAGGATAGATATATGAGAAATCAGACTGCAGCAAAAGTACTGGGTGTCTAGGTTGAAGATTGGAAGTGCTTAAAGGGAGAGAAAATAATGTAGAAAGAAGGAGGATCCTAAATATAAATGTTCAGGAAGTTGCAGCCTTGTCAAAGATGGACTTTGTTGCCAAGTACCAATTAAACAATTCACAAATTAACAGTGTAATGCTCATCAGCTCACACTGCTTCAAGGACTGCCTATGAGAATTCCATCATGTTAAACACGAGCTACTTCTGTTGATGTCTTCTTTCTGTGTCTATCTAAACAGTGAATAATAATAGAAGGAGAAAAGGATTAGCTTGAGCATTAGCTAAAAGTTGCTCTATTTTTATCACAGGACACCAAGAAAAGGGAAGAAAGATGTTTCTATTTCCTGTTAACATTACTTGGTTTGATATCTGGACTGAGGGAATCCAACATATCCTCCTTCTGCGTAGTGATCCATAAGTTTAAGTCTTCTCACCCATAGAAGGGAGATATTAGTAAGTACCTTGGAGGGCTGTTGTTAGGATTAAGTTGATTTGTGCAAATCATTTGAAAGCTTACTGACCCTTGATCAAAACTCCTCCCAAAGGTGGTTAATTCTTGCTGCCTCCCATGACTGCCTCTCCTGTCCTGTGTCCACAGAGTCAGGCTTCAGTCCCACGTGTGCTGGAGCTGCTGGCAAGAACCTATTGCGGCATCTCTTCCCATTTTTGGGTTCAGTGATGTCATGTTGTTAGCTTGAAACCAGCTCTTTGGGAATATTTATTTCATGGAAATTGGCAAATGCTATAAATCAGGATTTTGTTTTTGTGTTTTGGAGAGCCAGATTACCAGCACCCTAACCCCTGCTTTGTCCCACTTTCCCACTGATTCTGCTCCTACCAAAGTCATTGATGACCTATGTTTAGCTGAGGTCAGTAGTCAGTACATTATCTCATCTTATTCAAGCTCCCTGAAGCATCTAACCTGGTCGATCACTGCTCTTTCTTTGAAGGTTTTCTTCTCTAGAACTCTACAAACCCACTTGGTTTTCCTCTTACCTTGTCAATTTTGCCTTTTCAAGGTCATTTGTTGGATTTGCCTCCCCTACAGACTTCTAAATGTTAGAGTGGCCATAGCTGTGTTCATTGGCTTTCTCTCTCTGTTAAATACTCTTCTATCCTTATTTGGTCTTACATAGTTCTGTGACTTTAATCTATATATATAATCTATAAAACTCCCCAGATCTATTTATTTATTTTTGAGACAGGTTCTTGCTCTGTCACTCAGCCTAGAGTACAGTGGCACAATCATAACTCATTGTGGTCTCAAACTTCTGGGGTCCAGTGATCCTCCCACTTCAGCCTCCCAAGTAGCTGGGACTACAGGCATGCATCACCGTGCCCAGGTATTTCTTTTTTTTTTTTTCTTTTCTATTATTATTATTTTTTTTTTTTAGAGACGGAATCTCGCTATGTTGCTCAGTCTGGTCTCAAATTTCTGGCTGCAAGCAGTTCTTTCATTTTGACCTGCAAAAGTGCTGGGGTTATAGGCGTGAGCCACCACGCCCAGCCGCAATTCAATTTAAACTCATACTGCCTACTCAGCATCTCTGTTTGCATGTCTAATCAATGTCTCACACTCAACATGGCCAAACTACAGATACTCCCCCTCACTCCCACCTGCCCCCCACAACCTCTGCACAAGTATCTTCTCTTCACTAAAACCTTCTCCGTCTCAGCCAATAGTTTTGCCATTTGCCCACTTCCTCAGGCCAAACACCTAGGGCTCTTACTTGATTGTCTTCCCACACACTCTTAACAAATGAGCATAATTTATATGGGTAAAGACCAAGATTCAAGGCTATGGTTCACAGCTATGAACAAAGGTCCCTGTGAAAACAGATGGAAAGTTAGGAATGCAGAGTCATCCAGAGCAATTGAAAGGAGGTATTCGGCTTGGTGCAGTGATTCACGCCTGTAATCCCAGCACTTTGGAAGGCTGAGGGAGATGGATAATGAGGTCAGGAGATCAAGGCCATCCTGGCTAACATGGTGAAACCCAGTCTCTACTAAAAATACAAAAAAAATTAGCTGGGCGTGGTGGCATGCACCTGTAGTCCCAGCTACTCAGGAGGCTGAGGCAGGAGAATCGCTTCAACCAGGGAGGCAGAGGTTGAAGTGAGCCGAGATGGCACCACTGCACTCCAGCCTAGGTGACAAAGCAAGACTCTGTCTCAAAAAAAAAAAAAAAAGAAAAAGAAAAACAGAAAGGAGGTATTCAAGATGAATCTGAAAGTATAGTTTGATGACAGATAATAATTGTTCTGTAATAAAACAAGTATTCTTTAGCCAATAGAAAAATCACTGGAGGTTTTTGAGCCTGATCTGATCATTGGTTTAGAAAGATAACTTTGGCCATGAATTTAGATTAACAGAAATTTAGAGACAGGGAAACCAATTAGAAACTTACCATGATTGCTCAAGTAAGAGAAGATAAGAATCTGAACTACAGATTAGACAGAATGAGAGATAAAAACTTCAACTGCTAAAGGCACTAGGACTTGACTGATTGAATATGAGATGAGGAAGAAGAAACAAAAGGTAATCGAGAGGGTTCCAATTAGTATCTCCTGGAAAACGGAAATGCCGAGAACCGAGGTAAGGAACAGATGAATGGTAGGCAGATTGTGAGGAAAAAAAAACAAAAATGAGGTTGGTTTTAGACATAATGTGCTTGAGATGTCTATGAGGCAGTGAGATGGAACAGAGACTCCTCTTAGGGGCCTGCTGGGCACGCCCCACCAAGCTTGGAAATAAAGGAAAATCTTGAGTTCCTTCATGGGAAATTCAAGGCACCTTATCCTTGAGAAGTAAGTGAGCAACCTGAGAAATAAGAAGGTAGTAGTAGCTTAAAACAATCGCCAAGAAAGTTAGTCGCAAAATATTTGGTTCCCTATAGAAACTAAAAATAGCATCTTAACATGTCCTTGAGTTGTTTTTCAGAAACCTGGACCCCCACCACATGAAAGATGTGGCCTGCTGGCACAGAGACTTCAGATGAGGGAAACTGGGTTCTTCCTGAGGGGCCTGGAGGAGGTTACACCCAGGAGCCAGACCTAACGCATCTTCCTACTGACCCCAAATTTTTAAGCAAAGCTTTTCTTCCTTAACCAATTGCAATTCATAAAATAGTTAAATCCACCTATAGCCTGTGGATCCCTACTCTGAGGTATCCTTTCTTTTTAGGTCAAACCAATGTATACCCTCCATATATTGATTTACAACTTTGCTCACAATCTCTGCCTCCCTGTCCTTAAAAATTCTTATTCATGGCCGGGTGCGGTGGCTCACGTCTGTAATCCCAGCACTTTGGGAGGCTGAGGCAGGTGGATCATGAGATCAGGAGTTCGAGACCAGCCTGGCCAACATGGTGAAACCCCATCTCTGCTAAAAATACAAAAATTAGCCTCGCGTGGTGGTGGGTGCCTGTAATCCCAGCTACTTGGGAGGCTGAGGCAGGAGAATCACTTGAACCTGGGAACTGGAGGTTGCAGTGAGCCGAGATCACACCACTGAACTCCACAGCCTGGGCAACAAGAGCAAAACTCTGTCAAAAAAACAAACAAACAAACAAACAAACAAACAAAAAACTCTTATTCATAAGCCATCTGGGAGTTGGAGTCTTAAGCATGAGCTATCTGATTCTCCTCACCTGATGTTCTGCAATAAATGCCTCATGTTGTCTCCCTGCAAATCCCAATGTCAGTGTTTGACTTTGCTGCCCCAGGTGGTTCAGTTCAGTAACAGTCGTGATGGAAATGTCCAGCAGAATCAAAGCTCAGAAAAGAGGGCATAACTGGAGAATGATTAGAGGGTACGGAACCATACACAACTTTGAATTTGGGGTTCAATTCAGTACCTAACATGTGGTGAGTGTCCAATCAATATTGTCAATGAATATTATATCTTTGGGAATAATCACTGTGGAGATGTTGTAAAACTTGTTAAAGCAGATTAAATTGCCCATGAGAGAAGAGATCTAGGACAGAGACTTGGAGTATCCATCTTTTAAGCACAAGAAAGAGTAATCATGCAGAAAGATGGATGTAGGATAAGACTATTGGGAATGGAGTGTCACGGAACCCAAGAGAGAAAGGAGGTTCAATAAGGAAGAGATTAGTTTCCACACTGCACACTTGTACTAAAATGTAGAATGGAATGAGGGCAGATAAAATGCTGTTGGATTTGGCAGATCATGTGTGAAAAGAATTTTAATGAAGTGGTGGGAACAGAAACCATACCATGGAGGCTATGGAGTGAGTATGTGATACAAGAGCCCAATGGTGCAGTCATGCCTGAGAGTACTGGGTCCTTGTGAAATATCACAGATGTCTCCATAGTCAAGTTTCATAGTTCTGTGGTAGTGGTATAGACAATAATGAATCTTTCAGCCCTTCTGTCCACGCATATAACCCTCTTGTCATGGGCATGTGGAAAATGCCCATCATGACAGTTGTGTCCAGCTGTCTGTCATGTTTCAAAACCAAACCATACATTTTACCCCAATAACTTTGTGTGGCTGACATGGGGGCATCACATGTCTGCCTCAGGCAATGTCTGGGGAAGAAAGCTTTCATTCTGACTGCCTTTGTTAATGTTTTTCGTAATTTGGAAAGTCTTTCAGTAATTCAAGAAAATCCTTTCCTTCCTCTACAGGAGAGAGGGATCTCATTATGACTGAGAAAAAAATATCAAGGAAGAGTGAGTAATATTTTCTTGATAGCAAAACAAAGTGACAAATAGGGTGTAGGCAGGTTGAGAGCGATTATAGCAATCTTCTTAGTGGCTAAGATTTCCCATGACCATCATGAATGAATAATGGTTCTACAAGGAAGAGATTTAACAAGAGAGGGAAAGGGGGAGTAGGGAGAGGGTGGGGCTGGGGAGAGCACCTAAATGATTTAATGTTGGTCCCTACCCTCCCCCACTGAATCAGTTTTTAATTCCCCATGTGGCTACTCAAATTAATCTCCCCCAGTGACACTTGCTTGAGATCAATCCTTCCCCTGCCAGGGCCATTTTTCACATGTATCTCTTAGCTTGGGGGTTTCTAGACCACAGAGTCAGTAAATTTGACCCCAAGCCTGTCTGAGAGAAGGCTATCAATTCTTAGGGCAGACTTTTTTCTCCTCCCAAACCTAAAATTTGGGCTGAGATTTTACTAAGGTTGAAACCTTATGGAAGGAAAGGGTGCCCTGCCTGCCTTTGGAACTTTGTACTGGATACCTGGCATAGGGCTGACTCTGAGGACAAGGACCAGGCCTAAGACCCCGACACTGCCTTGTCCCAGAGCCTCCTGCCTGCTAGTGGGACATAAGGAGTGCATTGGAATACAAAAGAAACAAGTTCACCATGACTTTGCAGACTCGCTGAGAATCTCCCTCGCAGCCTCCTCATTATCAGGAAGGACTCAAATCTTCCCAGGCACAAAATATCCAGATGCCTTTACTCAGGTCAAATCTCAAGGCAGGCATCTCCCTGGTAATTGCCAGCTCCTCAAGCCAGGAAGAGATGCCTTTCTACGCTTGTCCTTAAAAGTCAAAACTCTGCCTAGCAAGACAACCCTTTAATGCATGCCTTCTGCATTTCTCAACTTCCCTCATGGGAAACTAATAAATCAGAGATGGTTTTCTGTGCATTGTGTGGTACACGCCATTACATAAAGACCTTGTTAATTTTTTTTTTTTTTCTCACAGGTTGCAACATGTCATTTGCCTCCCTCTGGCCTCATTGTTATTTTCTCATTCTCTCCTCCCATATTTTGTAAGAGTGCATTGATTTATTGCCATTTTCATTTTTTAAAACATCTTCCTCCTACCTCAACAAGCATTTTTGCCCAAAGCGAGTATTAACAACTTCCCTCCAGTTCTCCTTGTGTTCCTCTGTCGAGTGTTCTTATTCATTGCATTTGTGAAAAAAGGAATTCTCTGGGCCAGCACAAAGCATCTGCTGCTTCTATCCAGGCAAAGAAAGATGGTGGCATGGGGTTTTTATTTACTGAAGGCTGGGACGAACGCAGAGCTAAGTGTGCATTCCTGGTGCTCCTGGCTTTGTAGTTGTTACAGATGCTGTTGTCCTGCTAGGAGCAGAAGCCCTTCACAGAATGCAGAAATCAATGCCTGCGCCTCAGCCTTGCTCTTACGGGTTAGTAAATGAAAAGGGTGTTTTAGAAGCACTATGAACTCACCCTGAAGTTCTCAAGTAATCAGGAACTGCCACTCTCCCCTTCTCTTCTACAAAGGAAATGCAAATACATGAGGTAAGAAAAAGACATCTAAATAATAAAAGCCCCAAGTGGAAAATATTGGTAAAAATTAGGGAAAAGTTATTAAAGTTAGGTAGAGGCAAAAGAGAATGGCAAATCAAGGGGGTTCATATTGAAATGCACCTTTGGGGAATTCACGAGGGACTGGAATCTGCTTTACCACATTGCTTACGGGCGGATGATGTGAAACAGGCAGGGGCCAGGCAGTGGAAGGAGGACTGTGGCTAAGGCCATCCCAAGCAAGCTCTGGCTGTGTGCAATTCCCCAGATTGGGGAGGTTGCTCTAGACAAACCCTTGGGTGTTTTTGAATATTTACCCACAGCTTTGCTGAGCTGAGCAGATTAAATAGAAGTTACCCAAAGCACTTTGCATCTCAAGCATTCAAGTTCTCCCAAGTGTCTGGGACCATTGTGAAGTTTGGGGAAGGTGGGTCTACAGAACCAGAAATTGAAAATACTCCTTTTTATATTAAGAAATCTACCTGAATTACCAGGTACCTCTTGAGAGTCACTTTTTTAGGTTGAGTACAGTGTTCTCGCTTGACTGGGTTGCATCCTGCTTCAGATTGGTTCTGTTCACTCCGTATAGCAGAAATTTTTAAAAAATTTTGAAGTACGTATGTATATGTTGCTTTTTTTAAAAAAAGATTTTCATATGTATTGGCTCTTTTGAGTTTTTCCACAACCCTGAAAGACAGGCTTCATTTTGCAGGATCAACAAGGTAAGTGATCAGCTTAAAAAATCACACAAGTGCTAAGTAGAAGACAACTTCAGTCCAGACCTCTAGTCTTTAAATCCTGGATTCTTCATGACTCTACACTTTTTATCTGTAGACAAAATAGGAGGAGCACAGACCAACGAGAGCAGTATCGAAGGAGATCAATACGATATAGCTGTAGGATCGACATTGCTCATCGTAAATGTTAAGAATTGTCCAACAGTGACTCACCTGATGTGGTTATTGTGGATATATTCATGATGAGCAGGAACACCACGAAATCAATTAAACCAGTCAATATCTGGTTGAGAATTCTCCCTGCAGGGGAATGGGCCATTGCTGGGCTGATCTTTGTCTTCAATTCTGTTCCTAATGCTAATTTCATCTCAACTATACCACTCTTTCTTATCTTTCAGTAGTTTCACTCCTGGGAATCTCTTCACAGGACATAATTTAAAGGAAAGGAAAAGCTACACACATGAAGTTATCACAGCAGCATTACCTGTAACAACAAAACATCGGAAGGATTTAATGTCCAATTATGTGGGAATAGCTAAGCTATGGTATATCAATTTGATAGAATATTATGCAGCAATAAAACAATGATTATGATTATATAGCAAAATGGAAAATACCGTAATATTAAACACAAAAGAAGAATAAAAATGTGCTGGCTACAGTTTGTTGAAAATATAGTTTTGTACAAACAAGGGCTGGAAAAGTGAGAATAGTGGGCTATGCATGAATCTTTAAAAATGATTATTTTACATTTTCTTATCACAAATAAAAATCAAATGAGGAATAATTTTTAAAAACCTGTTGCTCAACATTAATTAAACTGCTGTGTGTGTGTCTGTGTGTAGTTTAATGATTTATTGCATGGATTTAAAACCAAGCGTCCCTGGAGTCGACACTCAAAATTTTCATTGCTTGCTGGATAATTTTCTCTAAGCCTTTTAACCTCTGTAGCTTGAATTCATTCATTTATAGGAAGGGCAATTTTTATAGTAGGAGTTCAATGTTTCTTGAGTGAATAAATAAATAAACAATGGGAAAAGGTCTCATCCCTGTAGGAAAGGCTTTGTTTCCAATGAACTCAAGAAGCTGTTTTGTCCTATTGTAAAGATGAGGGAGGTCAACTGGGCTGTTCTTCATGCTGGAGTTTGTGGTTGTGTCTTTTCCACAGTGGAAAAGTGTATGTGATATGTA
The DNA here is from genome assembly GCF_000001405.40 of Homo sapiens. NCBI lineage: Eukaryota > Metazoa > Chordata > Mammalia > Primates > Hominidae > Homo > Homo sapiens. Next base: position 232,043,207 of record NC_000001.11, on the reverse strand, counting down.
CATTTAAAAGCACACCTAAAATTGGATAAAACAATGAGGGCATAAGTAGTTCCTGAGGGACAATGAAGGGCAGAATGTGACTCCATTTCCCAAGTCTCCATTCTGCCCACACAATCAATCACCTATCAGGTCTCTTTGATCCAGGGCTCAAAGGAAGGAGACTTGATGTTATTCCCTAACCCAGAAGGGAGAGAACGTGGGTTCCAGAGAGTGCTGAATTTTCAGTACTACACCCCCAGATGTAGTTGTTCAAGAAAATGGCCAGAACAAAATCAATCTCTTGTCTTTAAAGTGATAAAAGTTTCAATGATAATGATTCATTTCTGTATTAGTCCGTTTTCATACTGCCATAAAGAACTGCCTGAGACTGGGTAATTTATAAAGGAAAGAGTTTTAAATGAATCACAGTTCAGCATGGCTGGGGAGGCCTCAGGAAACTTACAATAATGGCGGAAGGCAAAGGGGAAGCAAGGCACCTTCTTCAAAAGGCGGCAGGAAGGAGAAGTGCTGAGTGAAGGGGGAAGAGCCCCTTATAAAACCATCAAATGTTATCAGAACTCACTCACTATCATGAGAACAGCACTGGGGAAACTGCCCCCATGAATCAATTACCTCCACCTGGTCTTTCCCTTGACACACGGAGATTATGGGGGTTATGAGGATTGTAATTCAAGATAAGATTTGGGTGGGGACACAAAGCTTAACCATATCAATTTCCTTCTCAACTTAAAATCATCTGATCACATTATGTCATAGTTCATACTTGCCTTTTTATCACCAATATCAGGTGCATACCCTAGCACAGTGCTGGGCACACAGTAGGTAAATAAATAGCAGATGAATCCTGCATAAGCCGCAAGGAGACCTGGGCAACCATTCAACAGCCTGTGTGCCCTGCCCTACTTGAGGGCCTACTCTCAGGCTCATTAATTATGACTTTTTTCTTAAAGAAATGATTTTATTTTTGAATAGGTAAATATATGCACACGGTACCAAATGTTTAAAAGAATAGTATAGAGCAGAAAAGTAAGTCTCCTTCCCATTTTTTTTCCACTAAGTCGCCTGGATCCCTTTCCAGTGATAGCTCTGCAGAGACAAGCACATATGTACACAAAGATTTTTTTTTAGCAACTGTAAAGCATTCCATAGTGTGAATGTACAATAATTTATTTAACCAGTCTCCAACTGATGCAAATGAAAATGTCGGTTGTTCTCATTTTTGTCCTTACAAACAATGCTACAAATGTACACCTGCAATTCTGCACACATGTACCTCTGCAGTTTAAGTGTCTAGACCCAGAACGGCTAAAAGGATGAATGGGAGAATGCATATGGGGGCTAACTAGACATCTATTGTCCCATTTGGGATCAGGAAATATTTATAAATTGACTGATGGAAATTTTTAAATTTATGATGCCTTCCTATCCAAAAGCTTAATGTGTCTTTCCATGTATTCAATTCTTGTCTCATGTCCTTCATCTTAAAATTTCCTTCATCTAAGGCTTATGCATTTCTTATATAAATATATTCTTAGCCATTTTCTCTTGCTTTTTGTTGCTATTGAAAATGGGGTCTTTTCTTATACTCAGTCTTCCAATTATTGTCTGCATATATGAAGCCTGTTGATTTTGATTGTGTTAATTGTGTAAACGTTTTTCTGTTGATTCTTTTGGGTTTTCAGCTTACAATAACATCATCTGTGAATATTAAAGCTTTATTTTTTCTTTTCCAAATTGTAACCCTTCTATATTTTTCTTGCCTAACTAAATTAGCCAGCATCTCCAGTAAAATATTTTCAGTGGTATTGTGGGTATCTTTGTCTTGTTCCCAACTCTAGTGGTAATGTTAGTTTCAATTTCCTTAATCTAGGAGTCTGGGAATAGAATATTTCATGATTTTCTGATTTGCTGATATCTGAAAGTAAACACGTGCAATTCTAAAGCATGACTTTATTATAAATGTTTCGTGTGATGTAACTGTACAATTAATCATCCTGTAACAGAAAGATGAGATGAATAAACCTGATACATTTTTCTATCATCCATACTTCAAAGGACAAAAAATCATCAAGATGCACCATGCCTTGGATATCAGCTTTTATTTTGTATAACAAAAAGTAACCTTAATGAAGCAATAAATTACATGACAAAATTCAAAGATTAGATAAGGTGAGGATATTAAAAGTAAAAGTATTGAATTACATATACAAGAAGGCATTGACCAGTAAATGCATGGTTGCTTTTCTCCACAACACAGAATTCATAATATTGGAACACTTCTGAAAAACACCAATTGGATGAGGATCTTCAAGAAAGTCAGCCCAGTGTCAGGCTGTGAGTGGTTTTCCTGGGATGACTGGGGAATGGTTAGATCAGGATGATGGTGGGGTGAATAGGTTTGTTGATGCCTGTCTGAGCCTAGACTTCACAGTGAGGCTCCCCTGGCAGTGTGGGAAGCCTCGTTTGCCCCAGGCTCAGTTTCTTTGACTCCCTAACCAAGATTTCCACAGTGGCCATGAGTTCTTAGCCAGGTGAACAAGTAAGTTCCATGGCTCAAAATCTCAAAAGGACATTAAAGGAACTTTAGGAAGAGCACTAGTTAAGAGCATGCTGCCTGTCTCTGACTGTTAGGTTCACTATTACTTCACATTTTACCAGCTCTGTGCCTTAGAAAAAGGGAATTAGTCCTCTTAAGGCTCAGTTGCATCATCTACAAACACCTTCCTTATAAGGTTGATATGGGGATTATAGGATATGACTGTAAAGGGCTTAGCATGGCAAGGGCTTAGCATGGTACCAACCGTTACATGTTTCTGGGGTGGGGAAACCAGCCTTACTGCAGGGAAAGACAAGTTTCCAATAGTATATACTAATTTGGAGAAGGATCAATTCAGTTTTGAAATTTCAGAAAGTTGGCCGGGTGCGGTGGCTCACACCTGTAATCTCAGCACTTTGGGAAGCCGAGGTGGGGGTGGATCGCCTGAGGTCAGGAGTTTGAGACCCTCCTAGCCAACATGGTGAAGCCCTGTCTCTACTAAAAATACAAAAATCATCAGGGCCCGGTGGCAAATGCCTGTAACCCCAGCTACTTGGGAGGCTGAGGCAGTAGAATAGCTTGAACCTGGGAGGTAGAGGTTGCAGTGAGCCGAGATTGCGGGGCCACTGCACTCCAACTTGGGTGACAGAGAGAGACTCCATCTCAAAAAAAAAAATGAAATTTCAGAAAGTTGGATGGAACTGGGACTATTACTGATAGCATGTCCTAACTCAGGCCAGTGAAAGAAAAATGGGTGACCATTTGAAAGCCAGCATTCCAGCAAGGCAGACAGTATAATATCACACTTACATTCTCATAAAACATCCCAGTCAAATCAGATTCTAACTCATCATTTCCAGTATGTGCTTTTGCTTGTGGTCTTGGCTATCGCCAACATAAATTTCCATTGTTGTTGTTTTGATGCTTTTAAATCTAAGCCCTAACCTCTCTTGGATATTTTTATGTTCCCCTGACAAAAACTGCTGTATAGTATGATTGAGGATACACAGTCCTGTGTCTCCCAGGGTCAAAGTGGCTTAAGACAGTGGGCTTGTCCTGAGAAGGTTGTGTAGCCAGAAGAAGCACGCTGGCCCTTAGCGGACTTTCTGAATGATACTCTAAGACCAAGCAAAGACAACAGATGAGTTATGGCTTGTGGTTAAAACATGACTCACCTGCCCAAATACTTCAAAATTTGCAGCAGGGAAATGAACACACTATCTACTAGAGGTACCAAAGAACCCTTATTTCGGGTTCAAACAATTCAAGGCAGTTATTAACTTGCAGAATTTTCAAATACATCATGACCTCACAGAATTATTTCATGATGGTGTCTGAGTAATACAAAACACTTGGGCTAGTGACGGTTAAGATGTCTTGTGTCTGGGAGGCTTTTTGAAAAGACATATGTCGAAGTAGGAATTTGTTATTGGCAATGTGGCCAATCCTGACTCTTCCCAAGTTTTGCTTCACTGGAATTAACTCAAGGATTCCAAGTGCCATGTGACCAGTTCATAATTTTCTTTAGACACAATTATAAATAATTCAGGAATTTGGTTCATCATTGAAAATGAAGTCCAGGAACAAGCTAATTATACTTATTATTAAAATATGTAGAGTGTATTTTGCTCGAGATAAAGCCATAGGGAACACAATCAGCACATTCACATATTGTGCTTTTGCTTTGTTTCCTGGACCCCAGCCAATTGCTGGCTTAAGCATGGCCATCTCCTTGACTGAGGACAGAAGTGCTGCACAGCATGGAAGGCTGAGCAAAGCACCAGATGCCTTCTGGAAACGCCAGTGTGACTTCAGGAAATGACAAAAATGGTCTCATATCCGTGGATCCTAGTGAAGGCAGGAACCTCACTATCCCTAAACACATAAATGAGAACAGAAGCACAAACAGAACAACCACTGGATTAAATTTACCAATCTGTGGCAGGTAGTTATTAAGCTCAACACTCTGCAAAAGTGTGAGTGTGGTTTCTAAAGTGATGTAAATCAGAGTTTGGACTGGGACTTCCTCAGAGAATGCAGTGCTGTACAATACTAGATCTATGGGATATGAATAGGAGTTACATGAAAAAAATTCACGATCCATTAAACTTGGAAAGTTTGAGGTTAGATAAAATCAAGTGAGTTTCCTTACTATAAGTTCTCTCTCAGACTAATATGCTAATGTGCATTGTGGTTCTCCAAGCAGATATTATGGTATGGTGTATTTACCAAAGGTACTTGACCAGAGAGGGTACTCCTTTGTTTAGAGAGCTTCTCTTGGGGCCACCTTCCTCAGTGCACTTTGGGAAGTGCTGCCTAATTGAAATCAGCCTGTTTTGCAGCTGTCTCAATAGGAGTCCCAGCTGGGCCAAAGAAGCAGCCCAGCAGGAGCCTGAAATGCCCTTGCATTACTGAGTACTGCACTGATTTACTGAGTACTACATTGCCTATATAAGTACTCAGTACTTATAGTACTGAGTACTAGCTGCCCTGTGTTACTGAGTACTATGCTGTCCTACTGAGCACTACACTGTGTTACTAAGCAATTCACTGCCTTACTGAGCACTGCACTGCCTTATTGAGCACTGCACTGTGTTACTGAGCATTGCATTGCTTTACTGAGTACCATACTGCCTTACTGAGTACTGTACTGTATTACTGAGTACTGCACTGTGTTACTGAGTACTGCACTGCCTTACTGAGTACTGCACTGTTACTGAGTACTGCACTGTTACTGAGTACTGCACTGTGTTACTGAGTACCGCACTGAGTATTGCACTGCCTGAGTACTGTGCTGCATTCCTGAGTACTGCACTGCCTAACTGAGTACTGTATTGTATTACTGAGTACTTCACTGCCTTACTGAATACTGTACTGTATTACTGAGTACTTCACTGTTACTGAGTACTACACTGTTACTGAGTATTGCACTGCCTTACTGAGCACTGCACTGTCTTACTGAGTACTGCACTGCCTGAGTACTGTATTGTGTTACTGAGTACTGCACTGCCTTACTGAGTACTGCACTGCTTTCCTAAATGCTGCACTGCCTGGCATTGAGTGAAACAGGTTCCACGGGAAAATGGAACAGGCTCAAACATTTTATACAGGTCCCCTGATCCATCCACAGCCTCACTGTGGGTAAATTTCAGAATGTCCTGATGAAACAGAGACTCTCAGGGATCCTTTCTTCAGATGCAATCATTGCCACAAAAGGAAAATTGAAAGGTGGCATATCACTGGGAGGTTGTTGTCTTACCAAAATATCTTTTGGAAATTGCATATTAATTTTTCTAAGATAATATTAGATCACAGGAGAAGTAAGGTGAAAAGCTGTTAACTCCAGACTCTGAGGTTAATTAGCTCTCTTAGATTGTGCACCTGTAGGAACGTGTAACAGGTATGATGACAGAGTCTTATGCTTGGTTTCCTTTTTATAGAATCTTGAATCAGGAAATATTTTCGTTGCAGCAGAAGGCAAATGGCACAGGAAAAAGAGACATTTTTCCAGAATTCACCCCAACTTCTCTCTAATGGGGGCTGAGATGAAACTATTCTCAAATCCTGTGGAAGACATTCCCAAGAATGACATGGAAAAGAAATTTTTGAGTGACATTTAGAAGGAAATTCAGCAAATCAGTCTCTCTCTCCATATTCCAAATTGCAGACTCCTCAGTTTCACACTGATGAGAATGAACATGAACCACCTTTCCACTGAAAGACCTCAAGGCTCTGTATCTCCGTAATTGATTCAGGCATCTTAGCTATGGCGGGGGAGGGAAGAGCAGCCCCCCGGGTCCAAACATGGTGGCCCACCTCCCTCCCCCATCCCGTCACTCCTCAGGCTTGTGCTTCGTGGACACCAGCTGTCATGCAGGAAGCTGCAGCTTCTCTTTCTCCCGCCTCCTTTGCTGGCTGGAGCTGCAGGATCATGGCCTGCAGAGTTTCCTTCACCATCTGGAGCTCCCTCCTGAGAGACTGTGGGCACATTGTTAAGGAGCACATTCGAAGGTGATCGTGGCCCTCTGCGGCCTCCGAGGGATCGAAGAGCGTGTGAGCCTGCTGGAAGCAGATGGGTACTGACACCTAATTGCAGTTTAAAGTTCTTTCCAATTGTATGAATTAAATATTAATATAAACTTTACACTTTTATATTTTAGAATGACCGCAATTTCTACAATGCCTGAGGTATTGACTCTCTCAAGTCAGGTCTTAAAAAGGAAATGGAAGAGTCAGCTCTTAGCAGAGACAGATGGTCAACTCAGATGCTCAATGATATGCAGTTGGCGTGACCATAACTCCGGCTAAGCCCCAAGTTGGGGTGGGGCAACTGTCAGATGCAAATACTCTTGACAGTGGAAAGGGTAGAATGCTTGAAATCAAAATCTCCTTGAGAAATACAGGATTTGGGGTTGCCATAAGTAGGGAGAGGCATACTGGAGCAGACTCAGTTATTAACATGGTCTCTGTTCACCATTAACCAGCCTTGTCACCCTATGCAAACCAGTTAAAGCCTCAGTTTTCTCTTGAAATGATGACTTTGAAACCTCTCCAGGCTCTAACCTGCTGTTATCTGTTAGTATATTCCCAGGAACTAGGAAGGGCACTCAAGACTTGATAGAGTCCATCAAAGGGCAAAGAGAGCTTGCTTTTTCTGGGTTGGTTGGTTGGTTCTTTTCTTTTCTTAAGCTGTTGGGCTCTTAGTTTTCTAACCTATAAAGTTATTTCTCACATGGAGAAAACAATCATAGAGAACTTAGCAAACAGTAATAGATAAGGCTGTAGTTCTCTTAAGAAACGGGTTCTCGTCTGGGTGTTCAAGCAGGGGAATGTTTAACCAACAGTGGTTTTTCTGTCCATACGTCATCCAGTTCATCCTTTCCCTTTTTACTTGTAGTCAGAACAACTCTAAGGCAAATGCAGGGTGAGCGTTGGGTTTAACAAGCAAATTGATCCACTTTCATCCAACAGGGACCAAGGGAGAAAGTAGAAATATGTTGACACCACCTAAATATGCTGAAGTCATCACATGAAGCCAGACCACTACAACAGTACTAGATCAGACATGGAGGGAATGGGGAGCTTTGGGAAAGGGAGTCTGACTGTTTACAGACCACCTACACTACAATGTGGTTTTCCCAAAGTGCAATGTCAATGCAACAAAAAGAGAAAAAGACACCCTTACGAACCACTGTGGAAAGCTTTCCCTTTCTTTTTTCTTTTTTTGAGACAGAGTTTTGCACTTGTAGCCCAGGCTGGAGTGCAGTGGTGCGATCTCGGCTCACTGCAACCTCCGTCTCCGGGATTCAAGTGATTCTCCTGCCTCAGCCTCCCAAATAGCTGGGATTATAGGTGTGTGCCACCATGCTAATTTTTGTATTTTTAGTAGAAATGGGGTTTCACCATGTTGGCCACATTGGTCTTGAACCCCTGACCTCAGGCAGTCTGCCTGCCTTGGCCTCCCAAAGTGCTGGGATTACAGGCATGAGCCACCATGCCCAGCCTCCTTTCTTTTTTGAACAAGGAACTCCAGAGGATCCTGGGAATGATGGAAATGAATCTCTTCTAAGCAAACGTGCTGAACCACCCTGAAAAGTTCTGGCAGTTTTTCACCCTCTTGAAGCTTCCCCAGACTCTATCATTTGCGTAATTTACATGCATTTACTGCTAGGGTTCTCTCCTTGCATTTGAACTTGAGGAAAATGGGAGTTGGGTAGGAGGGTGATCAGGGGAGGAAAGAATCCAATATTTACCTTTCTTTCTTTTTTTTTTTTAAGAGGCTTTGGTTGCTTCCATTTCTTACATAGTTCCGCTAATCTTTATTGAAAACATATACCACTTTATACAAGCAAAAGCATAAGTGGTCCCAGACTGAATACCAAACTGGAATTTAATCACAAAGTCATGCCACATCTGTGAAGAGCAGGCATGGAGCTTAAGCAGTTTATGAATCCTGACCAACTCCTGAGATTTAATTACCTTTGACATGCAGCCTGGGACTACATGCCACTATTTGTAATGTGCTAAATGATGACAAAGGTTTTTAGAGAGAGAACTTGAACCAAAATGTGATGTTTCTTTAAAAACTGATAAATCTTCTGGAACTGGCAGAACCCACTGAAAAGGTTAAAAATAAGGAGTGAGAAGTTACAAAAGCAAAGGATGAAGTTAGTCTATAACTAAATTAACACATCAGCCGCTCATACAACAATCGCTAACACAGAAGGTGTCAGAAAACCAGCATTTGAGGAGATAACTCCCTAGCTATGGTAAGCTCAGCAAATCAATCAATGCTTAATTATTCTACTTGTAAAATACTGAATCTTGTACCTTCCTCATAGGGTTAGGGTTCAAAGAAATATTTTTTCCTTGTGAGAGTATAGTGTCTTTTGTGAGTCATCATGAGATTTAAGGTTTATTTCTTAATATAACAGATGTAACAAATACCTTAGGCTCTGTCAAAGCAGGGTTAGACACCAGAAATCCTAGAAACCTCATTTAATGAGCCTGTAGGGGTAATAATCATCAAAATAATAATTAAAATCACATTTTATTTGCAAAGTACTTCTCTCTAACCAACCTGCCTGTAGGATCCCTTACAAAATGTGAGTTACAAAGCATTTTGGATGTACTGAAATGGAAAAGTCCCCAGAAAAAAAAATGCAGAATGGGGTGGGGGAAAGCATATTGTAGAATAATTTATATGGAATGATCCTAATTTTGCAAACAAGACTATTGAGATAAGCCATTTATAGCTCTAGAAAAAGGCTTCAGGAGGACAAAGTAGTGACCTCTAGGTAGAGGCACTGGGAGGGAAACAGCTTTATTTTCCATACTTCTGTGATATTCACAATGGAAATGCATTGCTTTCATATTTAAATCAATATGTTTATAAAATAAACCACTGGAAACATTTCCCTGTTAAGCAGTTGGGAGAAATGAAAGTGCAGAGAGAGATCCTCTTTCTTTCTTTCACTCATTCAAACATTCAAATGTTTCCTGAGTTTCTACTGTGTGTTAACAAATGTTATGGACACAGCAGCACAGGAGTGAATCAAAGTCACTGCCATCATAGATGGCATAAATACCTATGAGTGCAGCAGAAAGTAAACAGGCGCCATGTTGGTAGTTATGTCCAGCTGTGCTGTGTTCACAGTGAGATGGGAGGAGCCGTGGGAGGACCTGGAGCAGAGGGGTGACATCGTCAGTTTGGCTGCTGTGCTGAGAATGGATTAAAGAGGATAAGGGCGGAAGCACAGAGTGACCAGTTAGGAGACCACTGCAATAGTTCAGGCAAGAAACAATCATGGCTTGAACAGGGCAGTGGCAGTGGAGGTAGGAGAGGTGGCTAGATTCTGGATGTGTTTTGCAGATACAACCAAGAGCATATATATGGTGACAGACTGGATGTGGGATATGGAAAATGGAAAAGGCATTAAGAAGGACTCCCTGATTTTTTATCTGAGCAAATAATTAGAAAAACACATCTGTATTTTATTGAGAAGAAGAGGACTAGGAATGAGCGTTTGGTGTTTTTGGTAGAGGAGGGAGGGAATTGGATTTTAGACAGGGTAAGTTGGACAAGCTTATTAGCCAAGAGAAGATGCTGAGTAGAAAACAGATATAAGTCTGGCATTCATATTGAACCATAAATTAAAAAAAAGTGTTTTACAACATTTTCTCACTGACTTACAGAAAAATAAACTATCTCATTTGATACATCTAAGCAAGATCTTAAGGCTAAGTAGTAGCTATAATCAGATTTTCTGATCACTAATCCAATAAGCTCATAGTTGAAGCCCATTGAAACACTTGACCTTGACCTTAATTGTTGTCAAAGAGCTGAAAAACAATTGGAATTTTAGGCAAATAGAAATTTTAGGCAAATTCCAAAACTATTGACAATTTAGGCAAATTCCAAAACTAGAATAGAGGTGCTAACTGCACCTAATTGCAAGAATAGGCCTCAAAAAAGCAGAATAATTCTTATGAAGCCTGTGCCTTAGGGACCTGAGTAGCTAAGTATCTGCCCCCCATAACAGATATGCCACCAAGTACCTGTGGTATCTAAGAAAATTAGCAGATTCATTATAACAACGTCGCAGGGATGAACATCCTAACATCTTTAAAACACCTTTGGAACCCAAGGCCATTCTGTACCTCCTTGGAATAGACTATCCACATGGTAGGTAAGCATGTAACTTGTTAAAATGTCTGTGTTTGCAATTAGCAAAGGAGTAAGACAGCAGGACAGGTGCATTCAGGAATAGATGATAAGGCAATATTGTCATTTGGGGTACCATTTGCAAAAGATCCTGGAATTCTTTAGATGGAGTCTTCTGTTTTTATAAGAAAACAATTGAGTGTTTTACTGTTAATGAAGTGTCCAAGTAAGCATTTCAATGGCTTAGTCAAATTTAGGTCTTCGGTTCATCTGACCTAGTTTGATTCAAAAAGAAACAATAGAACAAGTTGAGCATCCCAAATCCCCAAATCCAAAATCTGAAATGCTCCAGAATCCAAAACCTTCTGAGCACTGACGTGATGTTCAAAGGAAATGCTCATTGGAACATTTCAGATTTGGGATTTTTGGATTTGGTATGCTCCACTGGTAAGTATAATGCAAATATTCCACAATCTGAAAAAAAGCAGAACTTCAAAACACTTCTAGTCCCAAGCATTTCAGATAAGGGACTCTCTTATCCTTTGAAAGTGCTACTCTTTTGCTACATTATTTCTTCTTACCACCATTCCTTCCTGGGTAGCCACTACAGCCCATAGTGCTGGAGAATTTGGTACTGGAGATCCTCATGGAAAAGCCATGAGGATCACAGTCTTTCAAGAGCAAAGAGGAAAACCTTGACTATACCCAAGATTGATTCAAAGGATTTGATGCTTGTACACAGAAACTCTGTGTTGCCTACCTTGTGCCAAGCCCACCTCGTGCTCAGCCAGCAGCAGGACAGCCCTGTGTCTACGCCCTTGCCCTCCCCCACCCACTGTGGGGCTCCAACTCTTCCCCGTCCCACTCCAAAGCCAAGTGAGAGCCTAAGGAAAGAACTGTGACTACTATATCTGCACCAGCCCATCACACACAAAGCTTTAGATACTGTCATCTTAGGCTCTGGGTTTTCTTTCTTTCCTTTCCTTTTCTTTCTTTCCTTTCCTTTCCTTTCTTTCTTTCCTTCCCTTTTGCTCCCTTCCCTTCTCCCTTCCCTTCTCCTTTCCCTTTTCCCTTCTCCTTTCCCTTGTCTCTTCTCCCTTCCCTTCTTCCCTTCTCTTCCTTTCCCTTCTCCTTTCCCTCTCCCTTCCCTTTCCTTTTCTTTCCTCTTTTCCTTTTCCTTTCCTTTTCTCTCCTTCCCTCTCTCCTTCCTTCCTTCCTCTTTTCTTTCTTTTTCTTTCTTTATCTTTCTTTCTCCTTCCTTCCTTCCTCTCTTTCTCTCTCTCTTTCTCCCTTCCTTCCTTCCTCTCTCTCTGTCTCTCCTTTCTCCCTTCCTTCCTTCCTGTTCTCTCTCTCTCTCTCCTCTCTCCCTCCTTCCTTCCTTCCTTCCCTCCCTCCTTCTTTGGCAGTGTCTTACTTTGTTGCCCAGGCTGGAGTGTAGTAGTGTGCAGTCTCAGCTCACTGCGACCTCCACCTCCTGGGTTCAAGCAATTCTCACGCCTCTGGAGTAGCTGGGACTACAGGTGTGCACCATCACGCCCAGTTAATTTTTGTATTTTTAATAGAGACAGGGTTTTGCCATGTTGCCTAGGCTGGTCTCAAACTCCTGGTCTCAAACAATCCATCCACCTCAGCCTCCCAAAGTGCCGGGATTAAGATGTAAGCCACCGCACCTGGCCAGGCTCTGGATTTTCTTATCTATAAACTACATGAGTGGAGCTCCATGATCCTCATGATCCCTCTTCCAGCCCCTCAGCTCTAGAAGTGGAAAACATCTCCAAGGAGGCAGGACAGTCTCCCAAAACTCTCGTTACCTTTGTCTGTTCACGCTAAAATTTGGAAAGTTGAACTAAACAAGGGTCCTACGGAGCTGTGGTATTTGTGCACAAACCTGGATGTATTTAGAGCATGCCCTCAAGCACCACCAAAACTAAACAATTGGGCACCATGCACTCCAAATAACCAGAGAAACAGAATTCCATAAGGGCTTCCCAGACATGGATGTAAATACAACCACAAATAGAATCAGAGTGTCTCTACCTCGTCTATGACTGAGGGCCAGGCAGAACTGCCCTGAGGGCTTTGAAATATGCCAAAAATGTACATATCACAGGTGTACTTCTTTTCCTTTGAAAGTGTGTTGTAGAAATTGAAGGAGGAAGAAAATGAGAAAATTCCTGCTTAAAAATCCACCTTAATTTGGAAGGCTTTTGGTTACAATATTTTGAGCGTGGAGGAGACCTTGCACACAGTCAAAATGTTTTTCAAAACATACTGCTAATTAGGACCCCAGATGACTGTGAAAATGCACTAGAGACTCACACTAATGCTCCTGGAAGTCCCGACTTGACTGGCCGTGAAGTCACACCTCCTGTCCCCTTCTCAGGCACTAGGCGTGAGCCACCTCTCCACCACCAGCTCTCCCAATTAATGGTGCAGACTGTTTTCAGACACTCGCTGCCACAGTAGCTGATGGGTTTGTGTTGTTCTTTGGTCATGCTACATGTAATTTGGTGAGCCTGTCAGGACGATGAAGAGGCAAAGGCTCTTTCCTCTCCCTCCTTGGATTGGTCAATCAGTGTCTTCTTAATAAAAGTAGGAGACACCCATGAGGCTGCCCATAACTCGGATATTAAATCAGGAGGCCACAAGGACCTATTTGGAAACTCAGTCCCACTGCCCACCCCTAACCTCTGTTGATGCCACACTAATAGCCCTTATGTACACACATGGTTTATGCAAAAACTGAGTGTTTTCCACACAAAGAATAAACATCCATGGTAGCATCTGTGGCTTGAATCTTTCAGACGTGGACGTCCAATGTGGGCTTACATTAATCACATTCCAATGTGGACTTAGATTAATTGGGTACCTCACATGCACAGTAGGCTCTGGCAGCATGCTTAATGGAATCAAACAAAACACTGCACTCACTGTGCAATCCTTCTGTATTGTTGACAACAAGCTGTTTCTTTCAGCCACACTCAGCATTGTATCTTTGATCAAACATGGAAATACAAACCAGTCAGAGTTTGGCTGGAGGATTCTGGCAGCCTCTCTGAATCTCTAGATAAGCTCTAATTTGAAACAACGGCTTTGGTTTGTGTAGGGGAGCCTCCGTAGAGCCTTGTAAACATGTCTTTCTATCTTAGGGCATAATGTTCCACTCAAATTTAAGTGCTGCTTTGTATGAATTCAAAGACACCTTCTGTGTATTTATTCTCAATCAGTGACAGAAGACTGGGATTCGAAGAAAAGTCTGGGTTGAAATCCATATCGTGGTGTAGATTTTATTGGAGGGAGGGAGAGAGCTGACTTCAGTACCTAAACCAGTGCTTCTCCGCTTATCACAACAGAGATCAGTGAAATTCTCAAAAAACATAACATCAGTGAAATACTTTTATTATAGCTTAAAAATTTAAAGTAATTGTGTGTTCCATGGAACAGACCTGTCCATTTACTTATAGGCAATGGCTGCTTTCTGATGGGCCTAATAGGACCATGGGGCTTGTGGCTGAAAAGTTCTGCTACTCATCAGAAATGACCTTGTGTCAGCCAAGTTGTTCCCAAGCCTTGTTTTTTTCGACTGTCAAGTAGGGATAATAATCCCTATCCATTTATAGAAGTTTTATTATAATTAAATGACTTTTCATCTAAGCCACTGTGGAGTTACTGATTGATTCCTTCAAGCATTTATTACAAAATAGTTGAATCAATCTACCTTGAAACTTTTTGTGTATAAATGGGATGTTCTTGGAGCTTGTGACTAATATACTAAGAACTGTGAGACAAATGGACTTGGATAACACTTTTCTACCTAAAATCATGCACTTACCCATGGCTATATTAAATGTACATTATGAATATAGCCTTATTTAACCCCCATAAAAACCTTAGAGGTGTATGTTATCCTGACATTACAGATGGGAACCCTAATGCTTAAAGAGGCATTATCACTTGTCCATGATCCCGCTGCTATTAAATCTGGCTTGGATCAGCTGTGGAAAAACTAAAAGGATCTTGTTTAAATACTGCTTAACCCCTTGTTTTTCAGGGGTCTTTACTAGAGCTGCCTCCCCAGCTCTAGTAAAAATAAGATCCAATTCCCCAGAATCAAACTAACCTTTTAGAAAATTTCACAATAAGAGACCAGTACAGAACCCTGACTGCAGCCCTCAGAACTGCTACCTGAAGACAGAGGTACAACCCACTTAGGAACTGCCCATCTGCTGAGCTGGGGAACGGGAACCCCTTCATATCCATTGACTCTCTGCAGCGGACTCCTCCTCTGTGCCCCATCACCTGCCCATTTGCTGGAAGCCATACCCCCTTACACGTGCTCAAAGATTTGTGATCCCATGAACATGGAATAAATAAAAACGCCATCCTTATTCTATGTTTGTATGCTTCTTTGGGAAACTTTCTGATAATAGCTTAAATACAAGATTTTTAAGAGGCAGGAAATTATGAAGAACAGAATATCTGCTTTTCAAAATCTACCTAAAGCAATGTGAAAATCATTGCAGATTAAGTTGAAGAAATTTTCTGCCCAGCTTAATAAACAAGGTCAAAAATGTAAAGTTATAACAAGGAAGGAAGTGTAGCATTGGCTCTATCATTAAATCACAGATCTGAGTATTTATGACTAAGATTAATCCTTGGCCATTCAAAGCTACTTATACACACACACACACACACACACACACACACACACACAGCCCATAAAGTATGGTAAAAACTGGAATTCTAAAAAGTAAGACAGCAATGACAAGCAAAGACCAAAATAGCTAAATTTGCCACAAACGCATCTAATAAAAGACATTCTACTGAATAGAAAGATGAATGAATAGGGAAGTGTTTTTAGCTAGAGAAGTGTCAACTTGTGATTAAATAACTGAAAGGATATAGGGCTGCATATCCCTTCATCCACTGGGTACCCACCCATTTGCTCTCAGCAGAACTAACCAGTGACAAACTGCGTCCACAGATCAACACAGAATGGAGTGCTTCATACGGATGCATACCTAAGCCAGTATGTTCTCAGGCCATCTTGCTCACTAGCAGCTAGTTTTGATGAAGGTGTTTGTAGGTGTGACACCAAGGATATTAAGTCTGGTGCAAGAAATTCTATCACCGGGAAGCAGAAAGGACTAAATTGAGTTCAACCATGTGTATATGGTTAGAAGTTGAAAGGAAATAATCTAAAGTCCTGTTTGCTTTGTTACTGTACTGCCCATTACTAGGTAGAGTTGCTAGATAAAGAAATTCAGAGGTGGATTTAGGACGCTTGGTATTGAAAAAGCTCGTAGGAAAACGAGCCAGTCAACTGTTTTCCTTCACCAGGGCCACACAGAGCTGGATTTACACTCACTTGAAACTGCATTTTCTTTGGCTTCCTCGTGTGCATGTCTGAACTTAATTGTTAGTGGTTGGATTTAGCAATTAAAAATACTGAATTGCGGCCGGATGCGGTGGCCCAAGCCTGTAATCCCAGCACTTTGGGAGGCCAAGGCGGGCGGATCACTTGAGGTCAGGAGTTCTAGACCAGCCTGGCAAACATGGCAAAACCCTCTCTCTACTAAAAATACAAAAAAATTAGCTGGGCGTGCTGGCGGGCACCTGTAATCCCAGCTACTCAGGAGGCTGAGGCAGGAGAACCGTTTGAACCCAGGAGGTGGAGGCTGCAGTGAGCTGAGATCACACCATTGCACTCCAGCCAAGGCATCAAAAAAAAAAAAAAAAAAAAAAGAAAAAAGAAAAAAAATACTGAATTGCTTACTGAAAACTAGAGCGAAAACATTTCATACCTGATAATCTCAGAGATCTGAGGTGCTCTGTGCTATAAATAACGGCAGCATCTATTTGTTGCCATCTTCTGAGGCATGAAAAACTACCCTTTAAAGACTCTCTTTTATAAAATAACTTTGCCTTGCTTCATCTGCAAGATGAAAAGGATATGAATGAGATCTTCATCATGACTGTGGATTGCTGTGTGAAGTTGATCTTCCAAGTACAATAGCTTCTTGCCTATGTCTTCACACTTTTCTCCAAGTTCTGCAGAAAGGATGTAAGATTCCTGGCGAGAGGGGGAAAACAAGATCACTTGTTAGTGCCGTGGACACAGACAGAACACAAAGGGAAGCTTCCTGGAAAGAGCTCTCCCAGTTTCTGCACCTCAGTCAGAATTGTGCTAGGGCCTGTGTCTCCCCTGGGTATCAAACTTGAGAAGTTGTGAACTGATTTCAAGTTATGACCAAAGAATGAGCTTTGTCTATGCAGTTCCACAGGCCACCTCCCTTGTCTGGTCATTTCAAAGTGCTGCTTCCAGTATGTCAAGTCCCGAAGTGGATTTATCAAACAGAAACCCTGAATCTTCCAGCTGTATCAATGGGCAAATTCAAAATTTAATAGGGATTCTAAAAAAAGTGGGGAGAGGGGTCACAGGAGCAACTGGGCTAACCTGTAAGGACAAAGGGAATATTCCTTTAAGGACACAGGAATTGACTAGGGCACTGAACATTTGTTTACACACTGACCACAGTCCCTGAATGCTAGAATTTAAGTGCCATGAGGTGTATACTGCATATAGAGCCGCCGCTACCACCACCATACATGGGAGCTTAAGCCGCATAAGAGCAGGATGATGCAGCACTTTGGGAGGCCGAAGCGGGCGGATCACGAGGTCAGGAGATCAAGACCATCCTGGCTAACACGGTGAAACCCTGTCTTTACTAAGAATACAAAAAATTAGCCGGGCGTAGTGGCGGGCGCCTGTAGTCCCAGCTACTTGGGAGGCTGAGGCAGGAGAATGGCGTGAACCCAGGAGGCGGAGCTTGCAGTGAGCCGAGATTGCACCACTGCACTCCAGCCTGGGCGACAGAGCGAGACTCCGTCTCAAAAAAAAAAAAAAAAAGAGCAGGATGATGATGTCTTTTTGCTGCTATCCCTAGAGCCCCTGGCATAGTATCTGGCACATGACAGGCACGTAGTATTGATCGATTTGATGAATGAACAATTAAGTCTTAGAGCTCCTTCCTTCTCTCACTTTTTCCCTTCAAACTTATTTCTATGAGCCAGAAAAGGGCCTTCTTTATGTCACTTTCCTGCACGAAACCACCACAGAGCAGAGTCTAAACTCTGTCTTCATAGGACCTCGCACAAAGCCCATGGTTCAGCTGTATCCCCTCAACTCTCCTAAAGGCAAGCTAAGCTTTGCCAATAGGACTAACCCCGTTGCCCTCTCTCATGCTGTTCTTTTTGCCCATGCATTCTTCCCCACTCTTCTCTGAAACCCAGCCTTTCCTTCAAAGGCCCCAAATAATAATTTCACCTTGTAGTGCAACCATTCTGATAAGTTCTGTGTCCACTCAAGTGAGGTAAGGGCCATGGGTTAGTCATTCATCCCAGGGCCCAAAGTTGAATGCTGGGCATGTAGAAGGCCACAGACTTGTAAAGGAAAACAATAAACAAGGTTAAGAAAATGAGAACAGAAGATAGAGATTCTTAGAATAAAGCAGGGGGAGAAGCAAGAAATGAGCTCAGAATTAAAACTTAAATGTAAAGATAATATTTCCTTAACTAAGAGTGAAAAGCTTAGAAGATACACTAAAAAATTTTTGCAGACCAGACGCAGTGGCTCGCAGCTGTAATCCCAGCA
This sequence comes from Homo sapiens, assembly GCF_000001405.40. Classification (NCBI taxonomy): domain Eukaryota; kingdom Metazoa; phylum Chordata; class Mammalia; order Primates; family Hominidae; genus Homo; species Homo sapiens. The sequence goes on along the minus strand of NC_000001.11, from coordinate 232,024,853 downwards.
CTTTGGGAGGCTGAGGCGGGTGGATCATGAGGTCAGGAGTTCAAGACCAGCCTGGCCAACATGGTTAAACCCCCTCTCTAAAAAAATACAAAAATTAGCTGGGCGTGGTGGTGGGCGCCTGTAATCCCAGCCACTCAGGAGGCTGAGGCAGAAGAATCGCTTGAACCCGGGAGGCGGAGATTGCAGTGATCTGAGATCATGCCACTGCACTCCAGCCTGGACAACAGAGCAAGACGCTGTCTCAAAAAAAAAAAAATTGCATAAGGGAAACTATTAAGATACGTATTCATCTTAAACTACAAGTTTACTACAAAAGATACAATGAATACCCAACAATAACAACAAAATGCCCAGGTGCGGTAATAGTCACTGTTAAAAAGTCTGGAGATTATGCATTATATAATATTATAATCAGATTCCACAAATAACAATTAAATCCAAGTATATAATTTGATTTTTGCTATATTAGCTTTAAAATTTACATGCCAATGGCCAACTACCTTAGAATAAAATAGTGCTAATGGGAACTGCAAATAACTTGTAAATATTGGAGAAGTCTAGTATACTGAAGAATGAGCTACAAGCTACAGAATGACTATACGCATTTACTGCAAGTAAGTGTATATAGAAAAGAAATCTAGTGGCAATAACATACAATTGTGGGGACATATGGACACAATTAAAGGAACTTTAGTGTGAAGCACCCTTGAAGGTTTACTCAAAATTGACCATAACAGTGGTGAGAAGACAGCAAATACATAAAAATCACAGATAAATATATATATATATACACACATACACATATATACATATATATGTGTGTGTATATATATATATATTTTTACTGACCCTAAAATAATCAAAGATATGAAATTGAGGGTAGGAGATTACACAGAAGTGTAGACACTGGATAATGAGCAACACCGTCATCACACATGAAATAAATGAGACACTAAGAAAAAGAACATCTGGGAAAAAATGATTGACAGTCATGAAACCACAAATCATACAGGAAGGAGAAACATACAGTGTTAGCAGGAAAATATATATGACTGAAAACACACTTAAAGAGAGAAAAAGCATAGACTCAGAACAGAAAACCAAGGAATTTAAAACACCCTTAAACGAAATCAAATGACTCAATCTTCATCTTACGGCTACAACAAATATGAAATCAGAGCTAAATTAAACAAATTTAAAATACAGTTTTACATTTCTCCCCCAAACATATAATTCCTGCCTGTTTTCCTTTTTAAATTACGTGCAGATTGATAGTAATGGCATAAATTTTGGAAAGCAATTTCAGACCACATAACAAGCGCTTTAAATTGTTCATATCTTAAGACCCAATAATTTCCTTTCCTGGAATCTATCAAAAAGAAATAATTTGTTCATTTAAATTGAAATAACTTTTATTAAGCCCTTGTAATAAGCATGGAAGAATGCCTATCACATATATCAAATAGAAATAAAAGATTTTTCATGCAAAGATGATGGCATTAAAAGTATAGGAAAGAGGAAATAATTGTCAAACAATAAAGGGAATAGTTAAATAAGTTCTGGTACAGCAGATTTGTATTTAGCCATTAAAGTCATTTTTAATAAAAGAGCATTTAATGATGATGAAATAACTCAAATAGGCAAAGCATCAAAATATTTATAATTATTATTTGTGGGGCAGTATTATGGGAAATTTTTATTTTCTTCTTTATACTTTCCTGAACCTTTAACATCCCTAAAATTTGGAAAAAAAGTTATCAAAAACCCTAATTCAAACCATAATGAAAAAGGAAGAAAATTTACCTGAAATTTTTTTTAGTTTTTTTAGAGATTAAAAAACAAACAATGTAGCATAAGGGAACAAATTCAGAGAGCTCAAGTCACCATGTTTGCTAAGAGAAGATCTGTCTGGCATTCTTTCGTGGGGCTGTTTTTCCAAGGCACAAGTTACAGGATCTCTCTCAGGCTTGTGCAGGAACCTCTACTTGTTGGTCTGACAGCTTCTGATTCTGAACTGAGAGGATACTGAATGTGAACTGGGTAGATATGACTTAAGAGATGTATTATTTTACTATAATGCTCTCACTTGGAATCTTGAGAATAGAATTAGTTTAGACCTAAACTGAGAATTGACAGCTGATGAGAGGGTAGATTAATATATTTCTATCAATCTGGTAAAAAATTCTGTTCTGTCCAAAGAAATCTGTCTGTCCAGAGAGAGCAGGGTGGGATCAGAACCATGGGTATTGGCTGGGTGCGGTGGCTCACGCCTGTAATCCCAGCACTTTGGGAGGCCGAGGCAGGTGGATCACAAGGTCAAGAGATCGAGACCATCCTGGCCAACATGGTAAAACCCTGTCTCTGCTAATAATACAAAAATTAGCTGGGTGTGGTGGTGCAGGCCTGTAGTCCCGGCTACTCAGGAGGCTGAGGCAGGAGAATTGCTTGACCCCAGGAGGCGGAGGTTGCAGTAAGCCAAGATCGCACCACTGCACTCCGGCCTGGCAACAGAGGAGACTCCATCTCAAAAAAAAAAAAAAAAGAACCATGGGTATCAGCTGTGCAAAGTTGCCCAGGTCCTGCCTCTTAGTCCATAAATGAGGGACTAGGCAAAACTTCCTTGGCCATTTCCATGCCATGCCCAGGTATGGCAGAGTGTAGGTGTGGTCATAGCAACACACTTTTCTGGAATATTGCCTCTCCACCATCAAAAAACAGAGTTTATTACTTCTCCTGTTAAACCTGGATGGCCCTTGAAATTCCTTCAATGTATGGAACATAGTGAAGGTGACACTGCCTGACTTGCAAAGTCAGGTCATAAAAGGTGACATGTCTTTTCAGATCACCCACCCTGGAACCCAGTCTCCATGTTGTGAGGAAGCCCCAGCTACATGGACGGGCTGTTTGTAGATGTCTGGATGAGAGCCTCAGCTAAAGCCCTAGTCAACAGCCAGACTTGGGAAGGACTGAACCTTCAGATGGTCCCAGCCCCTGTCTTCAAGTCATTCAGCTAACACCCAGACATTGTGGAGCAGAGACACCCTCCTCACTGTGCCCCACCCCAATTTCTGATCTACAGATCCACGAATATCATAAATAGTTCTTTTAAATCACTAAGTTTGTGTTGATTTTGATGCAGCCATAGTAGGTAAAACAGGGGCCTTACATGGGTTGTCCCTACACAGAACCTCGCATGAGTGGATAAAACTATTGCAAAATGCTAGCAGGTAGTGCATCTTCACTGGTACCTAGTTAGGGAGTTGACTGACTAGATTTTTGAAGCTCACTAAAGTGCTAATGCCCAGACTTCTCTCAGGGAGGGGAACTCCTACCCATGCAGGGCACTATGGCCATTAGGCTGGGAAGTGCAACAAAGACATTACAACAAGTGACCACTGCCACTGGTCAGTAATCCCAGATCCCTGGCTCCTAGTTCAATGTGTAAGTTATTGAACAGTACAGGCACATATTCTGAGGGTTGTGTGTGTGTGTGTGTGTGTGTGTGTGTGTGTGTGTGTGTATAGAACAAGTACAGTAAAAATTTCCTAGAAAATTCCGCAGGAAGACATACCACAGTGAGTCCAACATATCTGAGTGCAATACGACCCACAGGGCCTCACTTTCTTCCACCTTTGGGAGAAGTGGCTCTTTCTTCAGGGGACACTTAGCAGAGCAAGGTGCTCAAATCATGAGAGGCAGGTAAGAAATATACAGATTCCTGTCTCCCGGACCCTCACACTGGCCTTGGGGCACACCCATTGCCTAGACTGAAGGACAACATTGCTGTCTATTTAAATGATCATGTCCTCCTGGTATGTGATGTTTATATGTTACGGTCACACAGGATGGCATAGTCTCTGCAGGAAGCATCAGGTGTATTTCACTACTTCTAGTTTTTCCCTTGCTTGGAAAGCACCTTGCTGGAGGATGTTCTCTCAAACCAGTGGGCTTTAGGCCTTATTCTGCAGAGATCCCCTGGTAGGAGGAAAAGGGTTTTTACTGTCAACTCTACCTCAATTTCTAATTTTATCTGTTTTATTTGCTAAGCCTTCATAGAAAGCTACATAAATAAATAAGTAAATAAAGGGAGCTGTTGAAGAGAGTTTGTTTGCTTCTTTTAAAATAAAAGAAACTTTTTTTTTCAAAGAAGGTGTCTCAGTGAAAGCTTTGGAAGCACTGACATTTCTGTTTAAGCCAAAATAGTGAGTTGTAAGCCAGGTGTATTAATCAGGAGGCTCTGCCTTGGGTTATAACTGCAAGAGAAATGGAGCTTCCTTATCTTAACACCATCTTGTTTCCCAGGACAGCAAATGCATTTACAAAGATCTGCCTCCTTCAGGGCTACTAAGAATGTCGGAAACCTTCCCTGAGAATCTTAATACCTAGAAGCAGAGAATGCTGCTGGATTTGGTAGGGGTCTTAGGAACCATCCTCAAGGTTCAATTCCTTCTTTTACATACAAGAAAAGAGGCTTGAAGAATCCTTTTATTTTTTATTTATTTATTTATTTTTTGAGACAGTTTCACTCTTGTTGCCCAGGCTGGAGTGCAATGGCGTGATCTCGGCTCACTGCGACCTCTGCCTCCTGGGTTCAAGTGATTCTCCTGCCTCAGCCTCCCGAGTAGCTGGGATTACAGGCATGCACCACCATGCCAGGCTAATTTTTGTATTTTTAGTAGAGGCAGGGTTTCTCCATGTTGGTCAGGCTGGTCTCGAACTCCCGATCTCAGGTGATCTGCCTGCCTTGGCCCCCCAAAGTGCTGGGATTACAGGTGTGAGCCACCGCACCTGGCCAAAGAGTCATGTAACTTGGGCAAAGTGGTGATGGAAAGAAATCAGAGAAGCAAACAGCCAGCACCTGTAGACATGGTGTTCTCTTCCCTTCTACTCTCAGAACTCTGCAAAGTCTCAATTCCTGGAGGGTTCAGTCTTATTAAAGGGATATGCTCCCTCCAGGACTCAGAGGCATAATGAGTGGAGGTGACAATGATAACAGCCATGACAATCTGGAATGCAATGATGGGCACAGGACCTCTCATCCACAAGTCCATAAAATATCAGGCTGGAAGCAGAGAAAAGCAAGCGGGCACATGGGAAAGGCGGCGAGAATGTCTCCTTTCCAAATAAGAACATGAGTATCCAGTCCCATCTCTCCCATCACCTCAGCGGATTCCAAATAAACATATTCTGAACCATGTCCACAATTTCACACACTGAGTGTCTCTCTGTGTGCAATTTGTAACTTTTGCTCCCATTTGTACTTTAAATCAAATGTGACAAAAAAGAGAAAGCCTGCAAGACTGATACTTGATAATTAAAAATACCACCCACTACAAAGCCACTGGGATTCCTAGCAGAAATGGAGTTCTGTAGGATTTGCAATTCTGAACGGATCATTTAAAGTACAGGTTGCTCGGCATTTCAAAGTGTCTTTGAAGACTCTCCAGTAATTTGTCTTGTCAGGCGGTCCTTTCAGCAATTCAAATTATTATTTTTTTCCTTTCTGAACATCCGTCCCATCATTTAACCCTAGGAATAATTGTTTTCCCTGTGGGTCAGAATGAAAAGCAGTTATAACAGGTAAATGGTCTGATTGCTACACCTAACACCCCCTCTTTTCAAAACTCTGCAGATTCCACTTCTTCCAGGAACGCTTCAATCCCGAATCTCCAACCCTGCCTACTTCTGGGTAGGAGGAGTTCCTCCCTGTGTGTGTAACCGCCTGTCTCCCTCACCAGATGATGAGGTCCTGGCCCTGCCTCCGTCGTCCTACCTTGCTCATAAAAGGTGCTCAGTAATGCTTATTGAAGTAATGAATGGAGACTCCTGTATCTTATGAGAACTTGGAAGAAGCTATGCTGTTTTTCAGACTACACTTCCAAGAGATCATTTCACCCAAGTATAAAGAGCCAGGAAGGAAAACCAACAAGAAGAACCTTTCTGGATGCTGAGCACATGCCTTTGCCTCAGTGCAGCCAAGAACAGCCTTATCTGGGATAATTTTCTTGCCACAGGGACAGCCATGGGGTCCTGGGGCTCTCCACAGTACTGCTGTACACACATGGCTTTTATTGGCCTCCAATAAAGCCCTACCATCTTCCCTGCTGTCCCTCCACACGGGTATGATTCAGTAGCACCGACTCAGCCAGGCAATATTTCAAATATAATTTGCTTAACTCACCTCATGATCAAAACCCGTAGGCCTGAATGTTTGGGCAGAAATTTTCAGCTGTGTTGAATTAGAGCTGATGTCAAATTTCTGTCCTGCTCACCCAACTCAGGGAGCATGATTTAAAAACAGAAAATAGGATTTCCTTTGTTGGGCAGGATTTTCCCATTAAAGTGACTTTCAAAAAACATTTTTCTATAAAAGTGTATACCCAGAAAAGCATTCAGTTGCTAGCCTGAGCAGATGTCTAAACCACATGCCCCAGTAGAAGAACAGTCACAAATTCCATGACCAGGGTCTCCAAGGACATTTTTACTCAGTTATAGTTCCCATAAACAAGGCTTAAGTCTTTCCCTATGACATGTGGAAGATACCAACATTTAAAATTTTAGAACTGGAGCTTATATTCAAAGGGTAGGGAATATATTATGAAATAATAATGGTTGTTTTGATAAGAGAAAGTATCTGGTAACAATATCTCATCAGGCTGTATCTAGAGTGATGAGGAAATCATATTTATTATTTCTATTCTGAATAGAAAATACCTTTGGAAAAGGAAACTGTTTAAGTTAAATTGCTAGGTAGGCAGGTACTACTGTGGCTGCCAATTCTACTTAGGAAAAGCTTCCACACCTAACAGAGCATACATTTGCAGAAATGTTATCATCAATGGAGATTTGCCACAAATTTGAGCAGACGGGTTACACCTTGGGTTGAGTCACTGGATCAAGATGATTTAAATAGTCTATTTCTTAAAATGCTGTCAAGAGTTATTCTAAAGGGAGGGGCTATGTGAAGTCTGTAAGAGTGTGAAGAAATAGAATAAGAAAAATCTCCAAACTGAAGTAACAAGTACTGCTAGGATTCTAAGATTAATCTGAGAAAACAGGCAGTTACCCTTTAGGTCTCTCTTTCAGACATTGTGCTGGGGGCTGTGCAGAGAAGTCATCAGTTACTTCCACCCTTGCTAGGGATCAGTGGTGCAGGGGAGGGGTTAGTACCTGTAGCTCTAGCATGAACCTCCACCTTGGATACGGTACTCTTTGCCGTGACTCAACTGCTTACCCAGATCCTTATTTCCTTCGGCTGTGTAATAAGGCATCAGCAATACCTATCCACAAAAGTACATTTGCCTATCCACAAAAATATTTAATTCCTGCAGTGAAAGTCACAGGCTACACAGTAAAAAAAAAAAAAAAAAAAAGGACAGGTGTTCCCTTATGGCCATCAAGCCAACTGTTTACATATTTTACATATTTTGGGGCTATAGCAGTATTTAAGTTTTTTAAAAAAATTTAAAACATAAAATTGAACACAGCACACATACATGCTTACAAGCCAAAAACGCTACTTGAGCCTCATAATGGTTGTTACATTGTCAAGTCTCACTCCTTCTCCTCTGGCTTGAGGTAAACCAGATGTGATTACCCCCATCCATGAGCTTAGCTGATGCATCAAACTATTTCCTTAGTTTAGTATTAAAATCACTGCCTTAAATATGTTCCTTTGGGCTGTTTTCCAAAATACATGCTTGGTAAATACATTTCAGGAATGCGATATGGTTTTGTCTTTCTTTTTAAAATATTATCTACAAAAAGAATATTTACTTCAAACAAATGCCTGCCCACAACACAAAGAATATATTTCACATGTATTTGACATAGATTTTATGGTGTTTGTCTTTTCATATAAATGCCGAGTTCTACAGTCGTGTAAATGCCAATAAGCAGAGAGGCAAAATTGAGACATTAAGGGTATATCTTTATTACTCTATCTGATACGAGTATTCATCCACATATTCAAATTATACGGTTACTCCCTGAGTAACTGCGTATTTCTTTTAAAAGCATCCAGATGTCGTCAGTGGTAAAGAAAGCATCTGAAATATTTAGATCTCTTTAGGTCAGAGCAAGCAATGAATTGTCTTCAAGTATCTGCATGCTTGTTTTGAAGGTGGCTCGGAGAAACAAGCTCTAAATAAAAGTAATTAACAGAACCAAACAAATTGTTAGAAGAAGAAATTGCTTGCTAATTGGCATATGTTAATTGGCCTGTGGTTTCTAGTTTACTTGAAGGGCAACCTTTGAAAAGCTACAGTTTATATTACACGATCATGCAAGAGGATGTGAACTGCTTTTCTTTAAGCACACTGAGTTTGATAGTCAAATCTGAATAAAACCAGACTTCATTAGAACCCTCTGAGAAAATAATCCATTTGAATCCAAAATGAGATTCATGGCACCGGCTAGTACCTAGATACAGTCCCTTTAATAAAAGGATTCAGATTCTGGGGATAGGGACATCCAACCCTAAGGCCCTTTTGTATAAGAAAATAAAAATGAAAAGTGGTTTGAGGGATTCCTTTTAAGGGAATGTGTTCTTTGAGCTAAGAAATATTGAACTGTAAAGGGAAACTATGAAGACAGAATCAAATCCCAAACTCCATCCATGTTCACTTTATAGTAAAACAAATTTGAACTCTAAGTGTTTCACTGTAAACTGTGCAACTATTAAGACTACCATAGTTACTGTTTTTAAATGTCAGCGTTTAATCCTGGTTCTGGATGTCACCCCTTCCAAGTGAGAGCTTGCTTCCCACCCTAAAGTCTCAGGCACCCCTGTAGTTTGCTGGAAAGAGATAGAGATGCTATGGTTGGTGGTATCTACTCTTTCCCTCAAAAGGCACTCAGACAAAGAAGAGCAAAGGACCACTCTTCTTTTCTCTCACTATTACCCAAGCTTGTTGGCCTGAGGTTCCTAATCATATGAGCAAAATAAGATCTGCTCTGCCATAATCAATGGTTCCAGGAAATACCTGGGGGCCGGGTGGAGGAGGGGGTGTGGAATGACCAATGGCTGGCAAAGCAGAAACACCAGCATATTCAGAATGGAAGGCATTAAACGATTCACTGAAAAAGGCAGTGCAGTAAGTCTTGGGTAGAGGTAAGATAATTTCACACAGGAGCTTCATGGAACTCCAGTGTTCATCTCCTGCCTGCTCCTAGTTAGGAAGGGCAGGAATAGCTCACGACCAGCTTATGGGGGGACCGGAAGCTCCTGGGGAGTGGAAGCTCTTGACTTTAACTGCCCTGGCTGCCCAGTGGTGGGGAAATCAAATGCACTGTAGCTGTGATGAGGGGGCAGGGTGCTATCTGATTTTCCACATTACAAAAATTCTCAGCTACTCCCAGGACACCACTGAGGATTCATTGGATAACACCTCCTCTGTTACAAACGCAGAAAATGAGTCCTTGCCATTCAGGCAGACGCCATCCTGCTATCGATCCCTCAGACTGCACCAGTGAATGACAAGGAATTTCCAAGGTGAACGGCGTCACCAAGAGCCCTGAGGTTGTTTTCCTCAGAAGCGCTGAACTATTTTTAATTAGTGGAAAAAGGGCCACCGTGAGGCCCTGGAGCATGGAGCAAGGTTCCACCATATTCCGAAAGAAGGAGAAGCCAGCAGATCAGAGGAGTCCCCTTCCTTCCCTTGGGCAGGTGAAGGAGGCTGACAAGCTGATGACAGTAATTAACTGAGAGAACAAGCAGGAGCCAGCTCACTGAACAGAAGAAACACCTCTCTTAGCCACCTGCCAGCTTGTCCCTGGACTCTGCTTTCTCTCTCAAATTCAGTGGCCAGGGCCAGGCCAGGGGCAGGGTCCTGGTAAGCCTGCGCAGTTCTGTTTCTATTGGTCAAGTTGCATTTGTTTCTTCACTTCTGTAGGCCAGTTATATTTAAATATCCTAATTATACAATCTAAATAAATACTATGTAGAGCGATGAAATATTAATGTGAAAACAAGTGCTTGTTTCCATAAAAAGCAAGCTGGAAACCTTGGAAAGATTCAATAACATTTAAGAGAGAGGGGGAGGCTGAGAATTGTTTTGCAAGTGCTCTTAACGTTTCCAGCCCACTTTAAAGACACCAAAAGTGGAAACTGTTAATGATGCATGATAGGTGAGGTTTACACAACGAGGGTCATGTGAAAAGCCAATCAGCAGGCTCTACAAACAGAAATACTTGGTCCTATATCGAATGAATAGCAAATGAGAGGGCATGTTTTCAGCTAGAAACAAAAAGGTTTAAAATACGCATGCATCATCTTTTATGACTCTCTGTCTTTTCTGACTTTTTAATTAACCAACCAATTACCAACCCTGGTTGCATCCTGGTTGCTTCTACTGCTCTGCTCTTGGGAAAGATGGCTGGGTTTGCAAAACTTCAAAATGTAGTGGAGATAGAAGTTTTCTTCATGTCCTAGCTCTTTGCTTTCTCCCCAAAGACATTAAACAAAAAGAGCAAAACCAGCTGATGGGTAAGTGAACATTTTTCCCTTGTCAGTTCTTTTCAAAAGTGGGAGAGATATCAAGAGATCACACATTTAGGGATGTGCTCCTTGGAGAGTCAAAGTGAGTTTCCAGCTGTCCCAGGGCCAGTAAGTGTCAGAGAAGAGAAAGAATCAGATCTGCACCCATTATGGCTGAAGAGGAAGCACTTTTGCCCAATAAAGACATTTCTAGATATAGAAATCAGTTTAAGACAAGGAGGACAAACATCTTCATTGTGGATCACCTTTTCCAGCTTTTTTTATGTGAAATTGAGTAAAAAGGAATGGAGATATTTATGTTGTGGCTCACAGTATGATACCCCTAAGTGTGACACTTTGGTATGCCTGAGTACTTTGAACCAAAGGAGATTGGAAGGCCTCAGAAGCAAGATCTCTCTGCCTTCTCTTGCCCTCCCCTCTCACACTCCTTTTTCTCCCTGGATGCAAGCCATAGAAACCAGAATTCCTCTTCCTCAAAGCCAGTCTTAGAAACTAGGACTCCTCTCCCTCAAAGCAAACATAAAACCTAGAAAGGTCACTCTCTTCCTTCTCCCTTGAAGGCCCTCCATTTAGAGGAGTCCGGCCCCATACCCAAGAGGAATAAATACTATGCAGAGCGTCCAAGAAGAATCTGAACAGACAGGGCTTGCTGGTCCGCTCACCCCCCAGTCTATAACCATTAGATCATACCCATTTTGTCCAATCACATTCCTTCATAGCTGACTATTCTGCATTAAATCTGAGCATAAAAATAGTTTTTCCTGGGTCTTTGGGTCTTCATTTCTGAAGCCTCCTGTGCCATGTAAAACTCTGATTAAATAAATGTGTTATGTTTTTCTCGTTAACTTGTTTTTGTTATAGGAGTGTTAGCCCTTAATGATGGCTGAGGAAAGGTATCACACCTTTCCACCCGTAAACTTAAAATGCTTTTTGAAGACCTCAATCTGAACAAATGAGGCTACCTGGTTGCGTTGTGTCTTATTGCTAATTCCGTTCACTGCAGCTGTGTTCACACACTGGCTACTCACATACTGCACGCAATGACTCAACATTGCCAGGTCCTCTTTTGGCCTCTTTGGTGAGAGCTACTGGCTCAGAAAGGAAGCAGCTGGGATGAGAAGTCTGGGAGAGTGGTACTGTCCAGGGAGCCCATTATGTAGAAAAAGCAATGGAAACAGAAAGCACCCCGCAGGCTAGGTTGCAGACAGGAAAGAAAAAAATTACGCAGGTATTATGGCCAGAACAGCCCGTACAAAAGAGCCACTTCACAGCGGAGGAAGCCTGGCTCACTGATTTCCCTGGCTCCTGTCTGGCCCCCATTCAATTTCTGTAACATCTACGAACCAGGGCCAACAGCAGCTGATAGTTTCCAGAGTCCTCAGAAAGGCTTGGAGGAGAGCTGTCATGAAACTGGAAAAGAAAAGGGCTCTTACAATTCGAGGAAGTTCATGCTAAGATTGGCACTGAGCCCTGTTGCTGACTTCCTCTGTAACAAAGTCCAAAGCAAATTGCTTCACCTTAATGGGCCCAGCTGTAAAATGGGGGAATGGTGCTCAGCAGCCTGGCAAGGACCGTAGACCCAGGAAGGTGTCGATCAACGACAAAGCCCTTGTGATAACAAAGTATCACCAGAATGCACATCACCACGTTGGCCAGATAAGCACGGGAAAGGCTTTGAAAACTCATCTTCCTGTGGACCTCTATAAGAAGTCAGTAATTTTTCATGGAAGATTTGGGTCAAAAAGAAATTGACTGCCTTCAGGGCATCAAGCTTCAGTAGAGAAACCAGTATAGGATGGTCAGACCCAGCACGGAGTTCTAAAGCAAAACCAACCCAGAGCTGCAAAGCGAATAGACATTTTAGCCACAGGATAAATGCAAAGTACCCAGACTTCAATGGCTCCCGGAAAACACAGGCAGGAAAACAAAAGCACCTTCCTAATGAGGCCCTTGTTATCATTTCCCCATACCTTCTGTAGTCTAAAATCCTGGACCCGAATACAAACGGGAGTTTTCCTTCGTTAAACCTTTCTCTGACTGGGTATCTTCCACTAACTCATTGCTCATGTCTACTTCTTGACAAAAAGTGAGTATATTATACATGTAAAGGAAAATGTAACAATCTCAAGCACCCCCAAACTCCTTATGCAAAAGGGAAAGTTAAGCCTGGAGACTGAGTCATACAAACAAATAGCTGTTGCTAGCATTATGCATGCAAAAAGCATTTTAGAGATGCTTGTGACTGCCAGAAAGAGTGATAGAAACAAAAGTTAACACAAATTAGCCTCTACTAGGTATGCGTCTCTCACTTCGTGATGCATCCTTTTATTTAAATCTTCATCACAGCTTCATGAGATAGTTTTCATTATCCTCTTATGTCGTGGTGGTGTTTTTCTTAACAGATGTGGAGATGCGGCCTGTAAGAGGCCTAACTGAGGATCACGGCAGACTCAGACTCAAGCCTTGTGCTCTTTCCAGCAGGCCACACTGCGTTTTGATAGCCCTGAGACAAAAGCACTGACTCAAACATCTATAGCCCGGTTTTTAAATAGGTAGACATTTAAAAAAACTTTTTAAAATAATTGTTATAAAGTCATACACAGTAAAATTCACTCTTTCTGATGTAAAATTATGGATTTAGACATACACACAGTCACGTAACTACCACCACAATCAAGAGAGAGAATACTTCTATCAACCGCCCCCAACTTCCACGCACCAAATTCCTTCCTGTTGCTCTTGTAATGAGTCCCTTCCCCTTTCCTGGCAACAATTTATCTGTTTTCTGGCCCCATAATTTTGCCGTTCTCAGAAAACATTGTCTTAAAATCCATGGCACTCATGAATTCAGAGAACGGCTGCCCTCTCTGTGAAAATAAATCCAGCACTGCGATACAGGAACAGGGAAATGATACTGAAAGCCAGCAAAAGCTGTAAGGTCCCCTCTAAAGCACCCACTCACCCCCAAGAAAGCAACAAATAAATGTAGGACATCCTCAGCATTTCAATTGGTGGAGAGGATCTGGGAGGCTTTCTGGGGGACCCCTGGAGCACCCAAACAGCAGCCACCACAGGACCTAGGATAAGGCTCCACTCTTTTTTCATCCTTGACCCCAAGCTTCCTATTTTTCAACAAATATAGCTCTGTGTTCTTATAGCCAGATAGTGAAATTGACAGGTGCTTATAATGCTATGCAGGAAAACGAATCCTCCTATGCCTGGGAAAGTCTGTCCCCAGAGAACCTGGAGGGCTCAGGGCTCAGTGGGCAGGGCAGAGAAGGAGGGAGAAAGGGAGGGAGAGAGTGATGGGGTTCAGAATACACTACCCCAAAATATGGCACCTTGGCATTTGAGGAACAGCAGAAGCAGGAAAGTCTCTCTGACCTTCTGCAGCCATTCTTTCCTGAAGCAGGCCATAAATAATTATCTGACCTTCCTCTAAAGTAGATTATAACACCCTCATCTTTAAAGTGTACAACCTATACCCAAAGGAAAGGAGTATCCTTATCTCTGAAGACACAGGGATGCAGCGAAGAATCCGAGCAAACAGGCCTTGCTAAGCTCCCCCCAGTTTATTGCCATTAAATCATACTCCTTTTGTCCAATTATACTTCTCCACATCTGTCTGCTATTCTTCAAACTTAAGCATAAAAATACACTGGTTTCTGTTGCTTTGGGTCTTCATTTTTGCAGGCTCCTGTGTCATGTAAATTTTATATTAAGCACATTTGTACATTTTTCTCTTGTTACTCTGTCTGTATAGGTGCCTCAGCTGAGAACCTTTAGATGGGTAAAGGAAAGATATTCATTTTTCTCCGCTACAGGAGAAAGGGATCTCTGCTGAATCAGTCCTGGCCTCCAGCAGAATCAATGACCCAGGGACTCCATCACATACCTGGCATGGCTTCTGACTGCCCCACACCGAGCTCCTCCTGGTAGCTCACTTTGGAAAGCCAGACACACCTTCAAAGACTCATTCCCAGAGCCTGCAGTTTCTTCCACCCAGGAATAAACCCTTGCTTAGGTGGCACTTCCCTCCACCCCAGAATATTCTTTCAAGCCATCCACTTGCAGCAGGTGGTAACTTTTCAACACCTCTACCCAGAGCATTGGAGACCAGGCTTTGCTGGAGGATTCCACCTGTAGCACCTGGGTTAACAAACGAGTTCAGATGTCTATAAATTAACGTAGAGCCTGTGACTGGGCCAGCAAGGATGCAGAGTGACAGTGGTTGCTTTCTTATAAGACCATGGAATCCAAATATAGGATCAAGGATCGATTTTCTAAGCAGTCCAGAGGCAGTGACTAAGAACACAAATGTCTGCTCTCTGAAGGCCATGGTCCTGCAGATGGGATGTGAGACTGGCAGGGCTGGCCTGGGGAGGTGGCAATTTCCCCACCCACCAGTGGTGAGTCCTGGCAAAGACCCAGGGAGGAAGCACAGCTAACATCTAACATCAACCATGAGACTTGAAAGCCATGTGTCAAGTTCCTCCAGCCTCTCCATGCTATTTCCTTTCCACACTCACAACACCTGTGAACCTGGGCCAACAAAGAGCTCTGAAGACTCAGGTCATGGCACTGAAATCAGGAAAAACTTCCTAGGGCCTTTTTATGGAAAAGACTCTTGTTAGGGTGGGAGGAGGAAAGTGAGGAGTGGAAGGGGAAGGGAGAGAGGAAAGAGGGGAGAGAAAAAGAAAGTTAAATAAAACCATATTTTAATTTGTAATACATATATCTCAGGCCAAACTTTAGTTGTGTTTATGAAAGAAGAACATTATAAACATTCATTATGATCTGGTTTTGGTAAAAACAATTAATGGGATAAATACATATATTTGAATGTTTCATTCAAATAAATAATAATATATTGTAATATATAGATTCTAAATATATAAACATCATATATGACATACAATACATAATGTATAGTATATATGTTAAATATCATGTATGGCATATATAATCTATAGTGAATATAATAACTATATTATATATGACATATATAATGTATGCTATATATGGTAATTCTATATTAGACTGCATATTCTAATTCTAGCCACTAAATTAGAATGAAAATGGAACTAAATATGCCAAAAGTTGGGTTTTTTTGCTCTTCTATATTTCAAACTTCTACAAAAATTCTACTTTATTTTGTAATCATATTCAAGAGTTATTGAAACTTTTAAAAGTTTATATGCTCAATGGGAAGCCTTCCCAATATTTATTGTTCCCATTTGGAGCATGGTCCCAAAGCACCCCTTAGAATAAGGGTCCCCTCTGGAGGCCATGTGAAAAGGACAGACCTCTTTCTGTTCACCTCCAGCACAGTGCAGAGAGGGGATGAGGTGAGTCTTCCATTCTTCCAATACCTTCAAAGGGGTCTTCCTTTTATCCTCGGAGTGGAGCCTGGGGGGAATAGGAGGAGCAGCTCCCTCTAAGTCATCCATCTGCCTCTCATCTTCTACAGACAGGCTTCCCCTGGCTTCCTGGAGCTGTAGGCTCTGGATAAGCAATCGACAAGCTTCCAAGTCAGCTTCCCACACTTTCCCAAGCAGTGGACACTTGCAGCTGAGACAGAGAGGAAACAAAGGCATAAAAATGAACTCAGTGATGTTTCATCATACCAAGTCGATAGCTTGTCTACCTGGCTAAAAGTCAGCTGGTCATCTTATACTTGATGACTTAATTTCACAGTGATAAATTATTTCAACTAGAAGATTCATCAGAGGGACCAAATTTGCACACCATCAAGTCACCATGAAATGTGCTGGTCCTTAGCTGCTTGGTCTGCAAAGGCATCCAAAATCCTATGTATTTTTCCAGACTCAGCAGCCCAATACAACACAGTTTCTGCTCATATATGTGTTACCAGCCCTACTGACTTGCTTTGAATCCTCAGACCTGTCCAACTCTTCCAGGCTAGATCAACTCTCTCTGTCCATTCTCCATCAACACACATATAACCAGGCCTTCATCTGACTAAATCATATTATCTTCAGAACTCGGCTTAAATAACCTTTTTGGGAGAAACATTCCCTGCCTTCCAACTGGAAAATATGATGGATCTCTTAGCATTTTTTACTTTTATTTCAGAGTATTTATGACAATTCTAATTATTTATGTGATTATTGTTTTCTTTTCCCTGAGGGCAGAGCTTGTAACTATGTTGTTCTCCACTCTATTGCTAGACTCTATTGTATTAGTCTGTTTTCATTCTGCTAAAAAGAACTGCCCAAGACTCGTTAATTTACAAAGGAAAGAGGTTTAATTGACTCACAGTTCAGTGTGGCTGGGGAGGCCTCAAGAAACTGACAATCATGGCAGAAGGTGAAGGGGAAGCAAGGCACCTTCTTCACATGGTGGCAGGAAGGAGAAGTGCAGAACGCAGGGGGAAAGAGCCCTTTATAAAGCCACCAGATCTCATGAGAACTCACTATCCTGGGAACAGCACTGGGGAAACTGCCCCCATGATTCAATTACCTACACCTGGTCTCTCCCTTAACATTTGGGGATTATGGGGATTACAATTCAAGATGAAATTTGGGTGGGGACACAAAGCCTAACCATATCATTTCACCCCAGCCCCTCTCAAATCTCAAGTCCCTTTCAAATTTCAAAACCAATCATGCTTTTCCAACAGTACCCCAAAGTTTTAATCCATTCCAGCATTAGCCCAAAATTCCAAGTCCAAAATCTAATCTGAGACAAAGTAAGTCTCTTCCACCTAGGAGCCTGTAAAATCAAAAGCAAGTTAGTTACTTCCAAGATACATTAGGGGTACAGGCATTGGATAAATGCTCCATCCCAAATGGGAGAAACTGGCCAAAACAAAGGGGCTACAGGCCCCACGCAACTCCAAATTCCAGCTGGGCAGTCAAATCTTAAAGATCTGAAATGATCTCCTTTGACTCCATGTCTCAGAACCAGGTCATGCTGATGCAAGAGATGGGTTCCTATGGTCTTGGACAGCTCCACCCCTATGGCTTTGCAGGGTACAGTCCCCCTCCTGGCTGCTTTCACGGGCTAGCACTGAGTGTCTGCAGCTTTTCCAGGTGCATGGTGCAAGCTATCAGTGGATCTACCATTCTGGGGTCTGAAGGTTGGTGGCCCTCTTCTCACAGCTCCACTAGGCAGTGCCCCAGTGGGGACTCAGTGTGGGGGCTCTGACCCCACATTTCCCTTCCACACTGCTCTAGCAGAGGTTCTCCATGAGTGCTCCACCCCTGCAGCAAACTTCTGCCTGGAAATCCAGGCGTTTCCATACATCCTCTGAAATCTAGGCAGAGGTTCCCAAACCTCAATTCTTGACTTCTGTGCACTCACAGGTCCAACACCACATGTAAGCCTCCAAGGCTTGGGGCTTGGACCCTCTGAAGCAACAGGCTGAGCTGTACGTTGGCCCCTTTTAGCCATGTGTGGGACAGAGGGCACCAAGTCCTGAGACTGCACAAAGCTGCAAGGCCCTGGGCACAGCCTACAAAACCATATTTTCCTCCTAGGTCTCCAGGCCTGTAATGGGAGGGGCTGCCATGAAGACCTCTGACATGCCCTAGAGACATTTTCTCCATTGTCTTGGGGATTAACATTTGGTTGCTTGTTACTTATGCAAATTTCTGCAGCCAGCTTGAATTTCTCCTCAGAAAATGGAATTTTCTTTTCTACTGTATCATCAGGCTGTGAATTTTCTAAAATTTTATGCCCTGCTTCCCTTTTAAACATAAGTTCCAATTACACATCATCTCTTCATGAATGCATAAAAATGCACTGCTTTAAGAGCACCCAAGTCTCGTCTTGAATGCTTTGCTGCTTAGACATTTCTTCCACTAGATACCCTAAATCACCTCTCTCAAGTTCAAAGTTCCCGAGATCTCTAGGGCTGGGGCAAAATGCTGCCCATCTCTTTGCTAAAACATAACAAGAGTCCCCTTTGCTCCAGTTCCCAACAAGTTCCTCATCTCCATCTGATACCACCTCAGCCTGGACTTCATTATCCATATCACTATCAGCATTTTGGTCAAAGCCATTCAACAAGTCTCTAGGAAGTTACAAACTTTCCCACATCTTCCTGTCTTCTTCTGAGCCCTCCAAACAGTTCCAACCTCTGCCTGTTACCCGGTTCCAAGTCTCTTTCACATTTTTGGGTCTTTATGGCATCTTCAACATGGATCATGAACTCAAATATATAGCATGCCCAGCACGCAATGTAAATGTGTGGAGCAGGGAAGGGATGATATAAACCATGACAACTAATATTCAGCCTCAGTGGTAGAAGATAATAGAAAGGAGTGACTGTGGCTAGTTGGGAGTACATATCCCTGTATATGGAGCACATCAACAACTCATCAGCTCAGGCACACTGAAACTATGAGGAATGTAAATTCAATGTTGACAAAATTTTGACTTTTTTTTGGAAAACCAAAATCAGGAATTTTCAATGAAAATATATATTTTCTCCCATCCAGACAGCTTCATGCTAGATATTTTCTACAGACCTATCTTCCATTTAATAACCCTTCCTTCTACTGTCTCGAATCTGCTGTTCAATCCACTATTGTGTTCTAAGTTTCAGATACTTTTAATTTGATTTTCTTTTATATATTCCAGTTCTCTGTCAAAATTCTCCATCATGTTCCCTATTTTTTTGGACATATTAATTAACATTCTCTCAAAGCCCATGTCCATAAATGATGAGATCGGAAGGATAAAGAAGGAATTAGGCAGAAGTAATATTAGAAGAGATTATCAGCTAAGAATATCATGTATTGACAAAGAACATCAAACCACACATTTAGGAAACACTACAACTCAAAATAGGAAAAGATCAAAGAAAACACATACCTAGGCCCATCATAATGAAACTTCTAAAATCAAAGACAGAACAAAACTCTTAAAAGCAGTGAGAGAAAAGAAAGGCACATTAACTTCAAAGGAACAAAAATATGGATGACAGAAGTGGTGAAAGCTAGGAGACAATAAAACATCTTTAAAATGCTGAAAGAAATTAACTGGCAATCTAGAACTATGCAATTATTTGAATTTTCTTCAAAAATAAAAGTAAAATAGGCTAGGCATGGTGGCTCATAATGTGAGAGGCATAATGGGACTTCTTGTGTACAAGAAGTATTTTATTTCTTGATGGTGAGGATTCCATGAGTGAAAAATCATCAAGCAGTACATTCATGATGTATGTATTTTATGTCTATGCCAATATAAAATAACAAAAAGAGAAAGAAAATATAATAAGAAAAGGAGGAAAGGAGGAAGGGAGGAGGGAGGGAGGGAGGGAGAGAGGGAAGGAAGGAAGGAAGGATGGAGGGAGGGAGTGAGGGAGGGAGAGAGGGAAGGAAGGAAGGAAAGAAGAGAAGAAGGATGGAAGGAAGGGAAGAAGGAAGGAAGGAAGGAAGGAAAGGAAGAAGGATGGAAGGAAGGGAAGAAGGAAGGAAGGAAAGAAGGAAGGAAGGAAGGAAGGGAGGGAGGGAGGGAGGCAGGGAGGGAGGGAGGGAGAGATGGAGCGAGGGAGGGAGGGAATAGATTTTCTGAGCGATGCACTGGAGCAGGAGTGCAGGAATGGGGTCTGGTCCATACTAGAAACAACAGTCCTCAGTTGGGGGCACTTTGGTATTTTTCATTTTCCTAATTTTAGCCAATCTAATAGGTAAAAGGTGGGATCTCGTTTGAAGTTGTATTTCTCCACTATTCTGTGAATTATCTTTTCATATTCATTGCCTATTTGCTTCTTTCTCGGGTTCCCTATCATTTTCCCAAGGGTTTTGTTGAAGGAGACATTTTATTACCACTTCAGTATCTTTAACTTTTACATTCTATTCAAGTTTTCCATTTATTCTTCTGCCATTTTAATATTTTATATCCTTTATATAAATTAATCCTTTTTTAATGAATTTCAAATGTATTGTTACATGTTTGTTCATATTTTTAAAAAGTATTTAAAAAATTACTTGTTCGTAGATCTCCTTTTCAGTATGTGTTTTACTTATTCTTTTTCTGATTTATCTTATTCAGTCTTATCAAAGGTTTGCTATCTTATTACTCCTTTCAAAGAACTAATTTTTCCTTTGTTAATCTTCATATTGATCTTTGTTCACTATTTCATTGATTTGTTCTTATCTTATATTTCCATTTTCCCCATTTCTTTGGATTTATTATCTTACTTTTTATTAGCTTCTGTAAACACTTAACTCATTTGTTTTCTTTTTCATATTTTCCTCTTTTGAAATTTTAATGTTATAATAAGCATATTTAAAGCTCTTAATTTTTGTCTGAGTAATATTTTAACCATGTCCAATATATGTTTATTTAAATTTTTAATTATTAAATATTTTAAATATACAGAAAAATATGGAAAATAATTTAACAAACACTTGTGGGCCTATCACAAAATCTATCAATTTGAAATATTTTTCTGTAATTGCATTATATATATTTTTAGAATTTACAGCATTGTTGTCCAGCAGATTTGACAGACAGCCTTTTCATTATCTTTCCTAATGGTTCCCTTGTTAATTCAAGGGCTGTATAGTGATATGTTTTTTCGTTTCTAAATAGAATAAATTTTTTTCACCTCCCTTTTTGTTAGATTAATATCTAATTTTATTGCATACTGGTTGAGAATTAACTCTATAAAATTATCTGAGGGTTCTCCTATCACCTAGTACTTCATTGATTTTTGTAAATTTTCCATATATGTCCAAAAAGAATGAGCATTGTGTTCACTGAATGGAAAGTGAAGGCATATTATGTTATTAAAATCTTTATATATTTGTTTTTCTTGTTGTTTGCTTCATCTATGAGTTTCTGAAATGAGTGTTTTAAATTTCCAACTATAATTCTTGATTCTTCTATTTCCTCCCATAGTTTTATTGGTTGTTTTATGAGTCTCAGATTATGATGTTAGATACCTAGGGGTTCCAATCATTAAATTTTCTAACTGCTTCTTTTCTGTATGTGACAATTTTCATTGTTGATGATATTTTAGCCTTAAAGCCTAAATTGTCTGATACTAAAATTGTTATTCCAACACTCTTTTAATTCAAATTTACCCAGCTTATCTTTTTACCATTCTATGTTTTCAGTTTATTTGCATATTTTTAAAATGACTCCAACATAAAACATTTGCTGAATTGTATAAAACCCATTCTAAGATTTTATCTTTGGATTGCTGGTTTTAACCCATGTACTCTCATTACTGTGTAATTATTGGTGTTTTCTCATTGATTTTAGCCAAGTCTTTCAATTAAAAAAATTCCCTTCTTTTTTTCTATTTTTCTTTTTCTTTTTATTAAATTCACATACAATTGTAAGAAAGAGTATAGAGAGATCTCATGTACCTTTACCCAGTTCTTCATAATGGTAACACTTTGCAAAACAGTAGTGCAATATCATGCCAGAGTATTGACATTGATAAAATCCACTGATCTTCGTCAGAGTTCCCCTTGTGTGTGTGTTTTCATAGTTTTATGTGATTTTATCACTTATGTAAGTTCAGGTACCCCTTACCACATTCAAGATACAGAACAATTCAATTATCACATGAATCTCCATGTTCTCTTTTATAACCACACCTGCCTACGTCCCATGCCTCCCCCTCTCTAGTCCCTGGAGACCACTAAGTCTGTTACTACTTTTTAAAATGTTGTCATTTCAAAAACGTTGTATAAACAGAATCATAAAGTAGATACCTTAAGGGATTGGCTTTTGTGTGTGTGTGTGTGTGTGTGTGTGTGTGTGTGTGTGTGTGTGCTCAGCATAATTCCCTGGAGATTCGTGTATCAATTGTTTATTCCTTTTCAACTGCTGAGTAGTATTCCATGCTAGGTATGTACCACAGTGTGTTTAACCATTCACCCACAGAAAGACATCTCGGATACTCCTAGTGTGGGGATATTATGAATAAAAGATGCTATGAACATCTGTGCATAGGTGTTTGTGTGAAATTAAATTTTCATTTTTCTGAAATGATTGTCCAACAGCACAATTGCTGGGTTGTATCATAGTTACATGTTTAGTTTTATAAGAAACTGCCAAACTGTTTTTCAGAGTGGCCAACCATTTGCATTCTTATCAAAAATGCATGAGTGATCTTGTTTCTCTGCATCCTCACCAATATTTGGTGTTATAATTTTTTTTTGTTTTTGCCATTCTGAGAGGTGTGTAATGTTATCTCATTGCAGCTTCAATTTCCATTACCCTCATTTCTAATGATGTTGACTATCTTTTCACGTGCTTCTTTGCCATCCATATAGCCTCTTCAGTGAGGTGTATTTTATGTCTTTTGCTTCTTTTCTACTCAATATTTTTTAGTGTTGGGTTTTGAGACTTTGTACATTGTACATACTAATACTTTGTCAGATATATATGGTTACAAACATGTCTCCCAGTCACTAGTTTGTCTTTTCATCTTCTTCACATGAATCTTTACAGAGCAAAAGGTTTTACTTCAAAGAGGTTCAGTTTATCAATGTTTCCTTTTACTTGATTGTGCTTCTAATGTCGAGTCTTGGAAATCTTTGCCTTGCCTTAGGTCTCAAAGACTGACTCCTTTTTTTTTCCTAAAAGTTTTATAGTTTTATATTTTACAATTAGGTCCTTGATCCATTTTAAGTTAATTTTTGCATGAAGTATGAGACTTAGTTTGAGTTCATCTTTTTCCCTATGAATGTTCAATAGCTCCAGCTCCATTTGTTAAAAATTCTATTGTTCCTTCACTGAATTACTTTTATACCTTCGCCAAAAATCATTTGAGCATATTTTTATGGACCTATTTTTAGGGTTTCATCTCAATTTATTTATAATATGTTGGATTATATCTCTTTGTATATTTTGCATAATAATTGCTCTGTGTATTACAATATGCTGGTGGCATCACCATCAACTGGCACCAATATTTTACTACTTTAAGTATGCAAATAAACCTCCCTTCCATTTCAATCTCTACCTTCTGCACTTTAAAATATTATTGCCTGGTGTGGTGGCTCACGTGTGTAATCCCAGCACTTTGGGAGGGTGAGGCAGGTGGATCACCTGAGGTCAGGAGTTGGAGACCAGCCTGACCAATATGGTGAAACCCCATCTCTACTAAAAATGCAAAAATTAGCTGGACACAGTGGCACATGCTTGTAGTTCCAGCTACTCAGGAGGCTGAGACAGGGGAATCACTTGAACCTGGGAATTGGAGGTTGCGGTGAACCAAGATCACGCCACTGCACTCCAGCCTGGGTGAGAGTGAGACTCTATCTCAAAAATAAAATAAAATAAAATACTATTGTCTTAAGTATCAGATGACATTAAAATTTTTGTCTCAATCACCATAATACAATACATAAAACACATGAGGTAAAGGATATTCTACTGTGTTTCTACTCTTTTTATTCTATATTCCTTTCTGTACCTCCCAGAGAATTTCATCTAGCTAATCTTTAATCTGCTAACAACAAATACACGGTAGTTTTCTTCATCTGGGAATATATTTATTTCCTTTTCATTCTTAAAGGATAATTTTGCTGGATGTAGGATTGTAGGTTGACAGTTCTTTTCTATTATCATTTGATAATTGTGCCACTTCTTTCTGGCTTCCATAGTTTCAGATGATAAATTCACTGTTATTGAAATTTTGTTTCCCTATAGGTAGTAAATCTCTCTGGGTGTTCTCAAGGATTTTTCCTTGTCTTTAGTTTTCAGAAATTCAATTCTTATGTGTCTTAGTGTGGATTTATTTTTATTTATTCTCCTGGGGATTTGTGTAGCTTCTTGAATCTGTAGGATTATGGCTTTCACCAAATTTGGGGAGCTTTTAGCCATTGTTTCTTCAAATATTCTTTAGCCTCACTCTCCTTTTCTCCTTTTAGAATCCAGTGATATAAATGGTGGATCTTTTGCTATGTCCCACAGAGCCCAGAGGCTCTGTTCATTTTTTTCAGTCCATTGTTTCTTGTTCAGATTGGGTAAATTCTATTAATCTGTTCTCAATTTCACTGAATCTATTCTCCATCACCTTCACTCTACAATTGAGCCTATGCAGTGAGATTTTTATTTCTGTTTTTGTATTTTTAGTTCTATAATTTACATTTGGTTTTTAAAAAAATTTCTATATCTTTGCTGACCTTTTCTAATTTTTTCATTTGTTGTAATAGTTTAATGAAGCATTTTCATGATGACCATACACAATTCTTGTCACATAATTCCAACATCTGATTCATCTCCCCGCTGGTATCGGTTGATTCTCTTTCCTCATCCAAGCTGTGATATCCTTGGTTTTTGTTATGATGAATGGTTCCTAATTATATCTTGGGCATGTGGGTCATTATGTTAAAAAACGTTGAGTTCCATTTAATTTTTTTATTTTATGAGGGAATTCTGTTTAGCTTTATCATGCAGGTCCCGTCCTACTTTTCTATATGTGGTTCCAATGGAATTTTTATTTTTGAAGCCATTGCAGTGTGGTTCCTTTCATTTGTTTGCCTTCGAGTTTTGTTTTGGAGTTGGTTGTTTTGTTGTTGTTGTTGTTGTTGTTGTTGTTGTTGTTTTTCTGCTTGATTCATCTGGCTCTAGGAGAACTTCCACTGGTCCCTGATGGTGCTAGCTGAAGGGGCAGAAGGCAGAAGGGGCCTCCCCCCAGGTCAGGTAACTGAATGTCTCTTGGTGCGGGTGTAAAGTCTCAGACTCTGGAGGACAAGAAGACTTCCCTGGCTGGGTACCTACTGTGGCAGAATTCCCCTTGCCCCTGGTGGGGCAGGGAGGGGAGAGGAGAACACTTCCCAGGCTGGGCATCTGTTGTGGCAGGGTCCCTCTTGCCAGGGGCTCCTGGCTAACCAGGTGTCTCTGGGAGGGGAAGGGAGTTGGAGGCCAGGAGGGAAGGAGAGCTCTCCCCTGGCTGCTTATTGTTAGCAGGGCTCCAAATCCAGGGCAGGAATAAACCTAGCTGAGCTGCCTTTGGTTGCTTGGTTGGAGGTCAGGAAATCCAGGTCTAGGTCATCTTTTTTCATGAAGTAGGTATGTAGGAAGCCCTGAAGCTATGTTTTCTCTCTAGTCCTGCAGTCCCAAGGCAGATTTCTGTCCTCTCACGGTCTTTCAGAGTTCTCATTTGATTAGCTCTTGCATTATTTTCAGGATTTAGAATTGCATTTAGTGGGAAGAAGCAGAGAGAAATGGTCCATGCCTTTTTTCCCAGACCAGGAATCCTCCCTTACTTTTTAAACATTTTATTTTTTTTCTCTTTTCCTACTTTCCATTGGGTGGATCAAATCTTCTTCTATTGGTCTAAAAATTATACATTATATTTTTGTCTTCTGGTAGTTTCCTTTGTATCTGTAAGATCATATTTATGTTTTTCCATATAAATTTGCTGAGCTTTTCAATTTCTACATCTTCCTCGCAAACAAGAAGAAAAGTGCTTTAATGTATTTTCACCTCACTCTCATTCTACCCCATCCCACCGCTGAAGCAATAAATTGATATATATATTTTGAGGCTATATTTTAGTTCCAGATTTTTATTAAAATATATTTTTGTTGTTTGTTCTATTTGTAAGTTCTGTATGTCATCAACAGTAAAAAATTTGCTAAGCTTTATTTGCATACTCTGTGACACCACTCATACTGTCCTCCTAGACTTTTCATCTTCTTGAAATACTTCCTCTAAGAATATTCCCAAGAAGCTTGTGCATGATAAATCTTTTAAGTATTTCCAGGTCTCATAGTCCCATTTAAATAATGGTTTTATTTAATATTCTTGGTTCCACATTTTGAAAATATTACTTGATAGCCTCTTGTATTATGTGTTCTATTGAGAAGTCTGAGGTCGATCTAGTTCTCATCCTTTAATAATTGACCTGCTCTTAGAATGTTCTCTCTATCATTGTTTTACATAAATGTTATTACAACCTATTGAGGTATGCCCATCACCTTTTTTTCTATCCTGTTTTGCACTCTACTAAGCCCATTGGTCGGAAGTTTTATACCTTTTCCTTTTTCTGGGCGGTTCTCAATCTTTCTCTCATATGTTTCCTTCCATTTTTCTATTGATTGTTTTCCTTCCTTCTGGGATTCTTTTTATATGAATGTTGATCTTCATATTGCTATTCTTCATATTGTTTCATTTATCTTTTAAGTTTTCCCTCTCTCTGACTATTGCTGGTGTCCTCTGAGAATTTCTGAGATCTTCTGGCTCGCCAATTGGCTTTTCAGCTGAATCCACTTGGCATTCAATGCATTTACTGAAACTTAAAATAATTAAACTTTGCATTCTTTGATTTTCCATTTGACTCCTTTTTAGGGCTTCATGTTTTATGTCATGTTTCCAACATCCTTCCTTATCTTTGGGGAATATTTGATATGTGTGTTGAACACCTTGTATGTCTACTTCAATAACCATGCTTCATCAGGTTTTAGCCATTCCATTTATTACCGTTCTTTTTTAACAGTTGTCCTCCAAAGCAGTCTTGTTTATTTTCCAAATGAGTTCTTATTTCCTTAGGCATATTTACTACTTAGGCTGGTCTTGGGTCTTTGGAGAAGTGGATACTGCCAAGGCCCTCACTTGTGCAGGTCCCAGTGGGTTCAGGTGGTAGGAGGGTGCAGGGAAAAGAGCCTCTGGGGGAATCATCTGTGCTCCCAGAAATATAGTCTCCCTCAATTGTAATTACCTACCCCTTGGGGAACAGGGAGGATGGAGATGCTGAAATCCTGGCCATCTGCTTGACCCCCTCCCAGGCAGTGCTCCTCTGCTACTGCTTGTCTAGCCTCAAAACCCCGAGCCTCACTGCCAGCAGGGGTTTGTTTCTTGAAGCACCTAGGTAGGATTGGCCTTCCTCAGCAATGTGAAGGAGGAAGAAAAGGTCATGTCTGAAAAGCCCCCTCCACGCTGTCATCTGTTTTCTCCCCACACGTGGGCCAAATCACCTTCAGTTACCTGAGGAGTTCTCTGTTATTTTTTATTATGAACTTGACAGATCCATCAACATTGCTCTGGCTTCTACGGTGTGAGCGAGGCTGGATTCAAAGGAAAGAGCCAGCAGCCTAGCTTATAACTTTCCTAAGAAAGGTTTGCTGCTTCTGTAAATAATTTTCTGCAGTATAATGACTGGAATACTGTAACTTTGTGTCTATTTGCTATTTGATGGGACAGAGTATGTGCACCCTGAGTGAGGGTAGTCCCCAAACTTCTCTTAGAATGCACACGTCAAAGTTTGGAAGCCAGTTTGAGGGGATGCTATGCTGAGTGCTGAGGAAAATATGTAGTGGTAAAATTACAGTGTAATTTCATAATACATAATAATTTCATCAAGCTTTGGATTTTTAAGATACCTGCTTATTGATCTGTTTGTGCTAAAGAGAGTAGTGGTTGATTTTGAAGTCTTCAGAAGCTTTGCTATTTCTGCCCAGGGAAAACAATTAGATCATTAGTAATAATTATTGAAGAGAAGGACTCACAGCTACTTGAACTGTGCAAGATCTTTGGTGATGTTTTCACAACCAGTAATGAGGCAGCTAGCAGATACAATTTCAGTGTTTGGGGGTAAGTTCTTGAGAACAGAATTGATATTCACCATTCCTGTGATTCCTGCCAGTTGGAAGTAAAATGGGGTCTAGGAGATCATCTGAGTGTGGCTTGAATCCTCCTGAGACCCAGGCATGTTAGTGTTTTTCTATGGGGTTTTCTATGGGGAATGGTGCTCTGGGAGAGGGTAGGCAGTGAGTTTGTAGGTTTCTATCCATTTTAGGAGAGTAAATACTGAGTTCTGACACAGATGCCTAGAGTTTCAGCTCTTATAACCAAACTCTCTTTCCTGATTTATTAATATGTTCACTTAAAGGGCATTAGTATTTTACTCCATTTCTTGGAAGCTTTGAAAATAACCAGGTCCTTAAAACCAAAAAAACCCTAGAAGAGAACCTAGGCATTACCATTCAGGACACAGGCATGGGCAAGGACTTCATGTCCAAAACACCAAAAGCAATGGCAACAAAAGACAAAATTGACAAATGGGATCTAATTAAACTAAAGAGCTTCTGCACAGCAAAAGAAGCTACCATCAGAGTGAACAGGCAACCTACAAAATGGGAGAAAATTTTCGCAACCTACTCATCTGACAAATGGCTAATATCCAGAATCTACAATGAACACAAACAAATTTACAAGAAAAAAACAAACAACCCCATCAAAAAGTGGACGAAGGATATGAACAGACACTTCTCAAAAGAAGACATTTATGCAGCCAAAAGACACATGAAAAAACGCTCATCATCACTGGCCATCAGAGAAATGCAAATCAAAACCACGATGAGATACCATCTCACACCAGTTAGAATGGCAATCATTAAAAAGTCAGGGAAAAACAGGTACTGGAGAGGATGTGGAGAAATAGGAACACTTTTACACTGTTGGTGGGACTGTAAACTAGTTCAACCATTGTGGAAGTCAGTGTGGCGATTCCTCAGGGATCTAGAACTGGAAATACCATTTGACCCAGCCATCCCATTACTGGGTATATACCCAAAGGACTATAAATCATGCTGCTATAAAGACACATGCACACGTATGTTTATTGCGGCACTATTCACAATAGCAAAGACTTGGAACCAACCCAAATGTCCAACAATGATAGACTGGATTAAGAAAATGTGGCACATATACACCATGGAATACTATGCAGCCATAAAAAATGATGAGTTCATGTCCTTTGTAGGGACATGGATGAAATTGGAAATCACCATTCTCAGTAAACTATTGCAAGGACAAAAAACCAAACACCGCATGTTCTCACTCATAGGTGGGAATTGAACAATGAGAACACATGGACACAGGAAGGGGAACATCACACTCTGGGGACTGTTGTGGGGTGGGGATAGGGGGGAGGGATAGCATTAGGAGATATACCTAATGCTAAATGACGAGTTAATGGGTGCAGCACACCAGCATGGCACATGTATACATATGTAACTAACCTGCACATTGTGCACATGTATCCTAAAACTTAAAGTATAATAATAATAAAATAAAATAAATAAAAAAAGAAAAAAAGAAAATAACCAGGTCTTTTTATATGATGGTGTAAAATATCTGATATGTGAATGGCCAATAGTACTAAATTTTCCACTGCAAACTGATGAAGGTAGAATAGTCCTCATGTGTCTGTAGGCATGTTTTTCCCTGGGCAACTTAACCTCCAATTCAGAAAAAAAAAATGTTGTTATTAGACATGTTTAAATTTTATTCCTTTGTCTTCTATTTTCTAAGAAAGAAAAAGTAATACTATTTTCCACTGAACTTTTGGAAATTTTAGTCTTCTTCTCCAATGCCATTTCATAATATGAAAGGAAGAAATGTAATATAAGAAAGAGTATTTAACGAGGAACATGTAGAGGTCATTGTTGGTTGAAACTACCCTCTCTTTCTTGTCTTGCCCTTCCTAATAGAATTTAGTTTATATTCAGGTCTCCCTTAGAACACAATGGATAGCAACCCCTCCCTGGATTGTTAGTTAGAAGGTGATGAGATTAAGGCAATTAACCGATGACAATCCCCTTCATAGTTATAGGAAATATAAATTAGGTAAAACCATTCTTTCCAAAACTCAACCTGCCAGACAACAAGGGACATTTTGCAGAAAGGCAGTGCAGCTACTCATCATCATCCTCATCATCCTCATCCCCATCCCCACTCCCAGCACCACCATCATCACCATTGTTAATAATTTTTGGTCAGGTGCTGTTCTAAGGGTTGTACATATATTACTTCATTTAGTCTTCAAGACAACCTCATGAGGTAAGATGGTATTGCTACATTGTAGTGTTTTAAAAACATAACCTTTACTCTTTTGACATTCCTATAATAAAGAGCTGGTATCTATATCCTCCTCTCTTGAATCTGGGCTGACCTTGGTGCCTTCCTTGGAGTAATCAATAGAACAGAGAGGGAGTAATGCCATCTAACTTCCAAGGCAAGGTAGGGAAAGGCCCTGTAGCTTCCACCTGGTTCTTCTGGGACACTTGCTCTGAGACAAGCCAGCTGTCATGCAAGGAGTCTATCTAGCCCAAGACTGTCATGCTGGAGGGACTACATGCCTGGTCAGTGGCCCCCTCTGGGATCCCAGCTGACAGCTGTTGCCATTGCCAGCCACACCAGTGAGCCATTGTGCACGTTCAGCCCTGGTGCAGGCCCGTGCAGAGAAATGCCCAGGCAAGACCTTCCCAAATTTATGACTCACCAAACTGTGAGCAAAGTACAAGGACTGTTTTAGGACAGGTCTCTATTTCACAGGTGAAGAAACTAAGATATAATCAGAAATCAAAGATCTATTCTCATCATTAGTGTAACATACTTCCCTTTCCTGTTGTGGATAAGCCAACCAGCCTCAGATTTTAAAGTGCTTTCCAACTTTGCAGCCTATTTAAAATTCGAATAACAATTTATTTTCCTGTATCACTCCGTAGTATACCAGGGTGAAGAGAGAAAGAGAACACCACCAGCAATAATTAAATTGATAATTATATGAAGCATGAATTGAAGTTTTAAGACACAGAATCAAAGTTATCAGGGCTCCCCATCAAACAAGCCCTTCTTCTTAATTTCTCCATTTTTTTTCATGGTTTCCTTATACCTGCCATCATCCTGGCCTGTTTGTTTTCTGTGGCCCCTTGAGAGCAGGGATCCTGTCTCGTGCCAACTCCTCAACTCCTCTAGTCCAAGCGCCCAGAGCAGTGCTGACATAAAGCAAGAACTCAATGCATGTTAAGAGAGTGAACCAAATGAAGGCTAGAAATCTTGGTCATTTTTAAACTTGTTATTTTCCTCAGCCCCAGTACCCTCTTACAGATTATAAACTGAGAATATTGTTCAGGTCTGCTTTTCCCCATTTCCAGTACTACTCCACATTAAGCATTTTATTTCTTTACTCCAGGAAAACTACAATTAGTGATGGGCCTTTCTGCCTTCAAATATTTCATACTTCCAATCTATCCCATCTAGTATTGCTCCAAAAACGTGAATGCCTCTTATTCCTTTTCAAATGGAGAGTAAAATTCTCAGAGGCCTTTCCCAAGATGCCCTCAGCCCTACTCTGGACTCATTCATTGCACCCCTGTGAGTTCTCCACACACCTGCAAAGTGGACCTCTCACTCTTCCCAGAACAAATGCACAGGTTTCTAATTACAGATGCATACTTCTTATGCCCTTTCTCTAAAATCCACACCCATTGAAATCCAACCATTTCATCAAGGCCCATCTCAAGGCTCATGTCACTTTAATATAAAATTCTTCCCTGACCTCACAACCATATGTGATGTCCTTTCTCTGAACCACATGGCATTTTGTAGTACTCTCAAGAGAGTTGTTACATTCTGCCTTGATCTCTGGGTTTTGTCTACAGACGCCCTCTTCTACTGTATGTAATTAATCAGGTTTGGGAATATTTCGTATTCATTTTTTAAAACCCTATGAAGCCTATAGACTAGCAAGATGTCATCCACTATAAGAACTCAATAACTAATGAACTGAATGAACACTCAGGGAAGCTACATTCAAAGGACTCCTACAATGAGAAGCACAAAAAAATTAAGTTTAAAAATA
Organism: Homo sapiens; assembly: GCF_000001405.40. NCBI lineage: Eukaryota > Metazoa > Chordata > Mammalia > Primates > Hominidae > Homo > Homo sapiens. The sequence goes on along the minus strand of NC_000001.11, from coordinate 231,992,769 downwards.
TCCATTCTAGTAAAGATTAATAGGGTAAAATCCTTTTTTATAAGTGATCCCAATGGATTCGCTGCATTAAAAACTAAAATCTCAGGGTAAGTCTCAACATGCCACTCTATTTGGCCAGTCTAGTATTGGCTTCTAAGCTGCCCAATAGCTAAATGAAAATTTTTACATTATTTGACTGACTCGAAGTGGGGAAAAACTTTCTAAGCAAACACAAACCTGAAATCCAAAAGTGAAAAACAGTGAAAAATTTAGACCCATATCAATTTAAACTCTTATGTGGCAAACGTGCCATAAATGAAAGTCAAAATACAAATGACATATTAGAAAAAAATATTTCTAACACGTTGCATGGTCTATGAGTTAGATTTATTAACCAGCAAAGAGTTTTGAAAGTCAAGAAGTAAAAAAGCAAATATCCCAAAAGAAAATAAGCAAAAAAGGCAGAGGAAGAAAAAAAACCAGCCAATCAACACGTGATTTGCATCCAATATAAAGATGCACAGATTCGGAGACAAAGGTCTGAGAGTTGTATAGTTTGCTGTTTTAAAGGTGAGGGATACGTCAGCTGCCTTTTTTAGGAAAGTAATTCAGCAATATTGGTCAAAATTTAAAATGCACATGTCCTTTTCACTAGCTATTCCTCTTCTAGGCATTTACTCTACAGGAATATTCAGACAAGGTAAAAGAGACATATAAAAAAGGATGATCATTGCAGCATGAGAAATAACTGGAAACAACCAAATGGAGAAAATTGGAATCAGCCACACTTATTGTTACATATCATACAGCCATTTTTACCTCTTAAAGTTGAAAGACCTCCAAGAAAAATTAAGCAAAAACGGCAAGGCACAGAACAAAATTCTGTTATGATTCCATTTGAATTTTCTAAAACTAACTAAAGGACATATATGTCCATACATGAGGGAGATATTTCTGGAAGGATGCACTTAAAACTGCTAACAGCTTCCTCAGGGTTGGAGGACAGCAAAGGGGCTTTTCCTTTACATTTTACCCCTTTCTGTTGTGTTTTTGTTGATGTTCAAATAAACCACACACACCCTATAATAATAAAAAAAAAGTAACATACTTTGTCCACTTATTTTTCCTTTTGTAATTCTGCCAAAGCATGCACAGTCCTTAACTTTGGTGCTAAACATTCCCTCTTTGCATAGATATCCCTGTGATGGTTTGTGGGGCCCCCCGTTTTGATCAGTGCAAGCTCAACGTCAGGGAGAAGGGCTTCCTAGTAAGTGCCCTTCAGAAGTACAAGAGCTCCATTGAGTCTTGAGAACTATAGGATAAATGGAAACACATGCCACACTAAGGGCAGCCAAGGAATTTTAAAGGGAAGCAGGAGCAAGACAAGGAGAGAGCACTCCTCGTAAATTGCCTCTCAGCTTATCCCCTGAATACATTCCAGCAGCTCAACCCAGAAAGAATAGGCGCTGGCCAGACATTGCACTATAGGTAAAATGCGTTATTCTTCCTACTTCTCAGAACATACGGCTTCCCGAAGAGGGCTCGCTAATAAATGCCAAGAGTGGAATGGAAATAGATCTGCTAACAAGCTCTCACCCAAAATATTTTATCTGACAAATGTGTAGGTCAAAGAGTTAGAGAGACAATAATTATGTGCAGCTAAGTGGACACATATATCTGGCTGTTGGAGAAAGAAAACATAGAAATGTCCCCAAACTATTCTGTGTTCTAGAGAAGACAATGAATAAGCCATGCTGCTTGGCACACAGGTGCCGCCTGGCGAGGCTGATGGCTTACCATGAGAACTGCAGGACATACAGGCAGGACTGGTGTCAGGTGAAGGCCTTAGGGATGCTCTCCCTCGTATCTGGTATTCCCTACCCACAAACCAAAGAAGGGGATGATGTTACCTCCAAACACAGTAACTGCAGTTCAGGAGACGTCTATGACAAAGTTAGGAGCAGGAGAAGGGAAATGTCCCAGCAATGGTCAGCCTCTGTTTCTGATGTTGAAAAAGGAGCAGAGCTAGTGGCCTGCAGCCTCATCAGGGTGTGTCTGCAGGGGAAGCAGAGTCATTTCCAGTGCCCAAACCCAAAAGATGTAAGCCATGCCTACTTCTGGCAAAGAAAGCCCACACGTGACTCCTTTAAGAATGGCAGCCCACAAGTGCGAGACGGAAAGGCGAGAGGGAAGTAATCTGGGCTTTGTCTGACCTCACAGGCTGTCAGACTGTCACCCCAAGTACACAGAAGCAGTGAGGAATTTGACAACAGTATGAAGAGCAGTGCCAACAATCACATATGTTTCCTATCCAAGCAGCCCTATCACCCCCGATCTCCTACCACCACAGGGTTCCTACAGCATAAACACCTTTAGCTGTGGAGGGTGGTGCCTGGGTGGGGTGGGGGATGAGCAGGGGGACTCTTGGCCGGAAGGAGATGTCTTCAGGCCACCTGTGCTTCTGCTTGCCTTCCCCGTGTCTTTCCAAGACCTTTAGTGGTGGCCAGGACTCTCTGATCTATAACAGGGTGTCAGGCCTTCTCTGAGACTGATGGTAATGCCTTGTGCCTGTAGTGATCTGGTTTCCATGAACTGTGAGATAACAGAACCACCAGACAATACTAAGAAATATCCATTTCTCTTTTTCCCCATAACTCAGTGGCCCTAAGTATTACACAGACACATAGTGATGTGAGGATGGACATGGCTCATTGATGAAGTGGAAAGAGTTGGAAAGACTGCAGAACCAGTAGGGGAGGAGAAAACAGTGCCTCTTGAGTCCTAGACAAGGCAGTGCTGCAAGTTTTATCCCAGAAGCACAGGGAGATGCCCTCTGCCTGGAAGTGTAGTGTAGAAGCCAGACTGCATAGGTTCAAAGCCCAGCTCCACCGCTTGCAGTCGCACAGCGTTAGGTAAGATACTGAACTCGGTGCGCATGTGTTTCCTCATCCATAATGGAAGGATTGTTGGACTGTGGAGAGAACTGCACAGGTACTTGATATAAAGCACTTAGACCTGTGCACGCCCTACAGCAAGCAGGGTCTAAGTGCTAGCTCTTATTCCTGCCAGGTCTCTCACTTCTGCTCATATGCCTGTCTCATCTCGATCTTCCCAACTCTGTAGTTTCTCACAATAAGCAATTCTATAGCTCTTATCTCAGGCAATGTCTGCTTTATCCCTTAAAAGCCAGCTCTCTTTGATGCTCTCCCTCACTCCTCTTGGAAAAGCTAGTTATTCTTTCCTTCGTAGCAAAATAGCATTCTGTACCTGTATTTTGACATGAAGCATTTATTTTAATCATCCATGTACATGCGCTTCCCTACCAGAGCAAGGACTCTTCAAGGTCAGGGCATGCCTATGATAAGCAAATCCGCCAGTAAGTGAACAGATTTCTTAAAGGGTTTTCTTTAGCCTGCATTGCGTTATCTTTATGCCATCACCAAAGATTAGAAGAAATCAAAGCACAGACCAGAACACAGAAGTGAACTTCCAGCAGGACCTGCAGCATGGGTGGACCGTCAGCTGAAACAGCAGGAAGACCTATTTTCTCCATCTCATCTGTTTATGAGCCTGACCTGGGTAGGAAAGAATCTTGATAGATATGTTTCAGCTAACTGATATTACTTCATGGTCATTCTAAAATGTTTGTACCCACCAGTCCCTAAACTGGGGAAGGAGAAAGCAAAAGACCAGAGTAGCCAGGCAAGGAAAATGATAGCAAGGACTGGTTAATGAGAGCCACATGGATGAAAGGGACTGCTGAGGCTGACATGGGACACCCCAGAGGCTGGTGCTGCTTACATAGACAAGGTCTGGGCATGAAGGTGAAGACCTGGTCAATGTGACAATCAAGGAGCAGTATGGGTCAGCATTGTTCGGGGCACATGGCACTTGGGGGCTCCCTCAGGCATGCTCTCTGCTTCCAATGAATGGAAGTGTCATTGAAGTCCACGGAACTTGCACCATTGAAATTATATACAAATTGTGTGTGTAGGTACATTTTTATGGGAAGAGGTTCCACAGATTTTATGGGATTCTGTCTTAGTCTGTTCCAGTTGCTATAATAAAAATGCCATAAACTGGGTGGCTTATAAACAAAAGAAATTTATTTCTCACAGTTCTGAAGGGTGGGGAGTCCAAGATCAAGGGGACAGCAAATTTGATGTCTGGTAAGTTCCCAATTTCTTGCAGGTGGTGCCTTCTTGCTGTATCCTAACACGGTGAAAGGAATATGGGAGCCCCCTGGGCCCTCTTTTATACAGGCGCTAATCAGCACTCGTGAGGGCTCCACCCTCGTGACCTAATCACCACCAAAGGTGCCACTTCTTAACATCATTGCACTGGGGATTAGGTCCAAATATATGAATTTGAGGGAGACATAAACATTCAGATCATAGTAGATTTTTAAAAAGATTTGTGACTTAAAAAATAATTAACGTGCCTATGAATCACTTGGGGAATATTATTAAAAGGCAGGTGCTGATTTGTAGGTTGGGGAAGTGCCTGAGATTCTGCATTTTTAAATACACCCATGTGATGTCAATGTTGTCGGTCTGCAGTCCACACTTGGAGTAGCAAGGACCAAGTTGCGGTTCTTTTTTATTTGAGACAGGGTCTCACTCTGTCGCCCAGGCTGGAGTGCAGTGGCGCGATCTCGGCTCGCTGTAACCTCTGCCTCCCAGGTTCAAGTGATTCTCTTGCCTCAGCCTCCTGAGTAGCTGGGACTACAGGCACACGTCACCACACCCGGCTAATTTTGGTATTTTTAGTAGGGACGGGGTTTCACCATATTGGTCAGGCTGCTCTTGAACTCCTGACCTCAAATCCACCTGCTCCAGCCTCCTAAAGTGCTGGGATTACAGGTGTAAGCCACCATACCAGGCCCAAGTTGAGGTTCTTATAAACTAAAATTGACAGCTTCTGGATTGCCAAGTCACATGCACTCATATAATTTAGATGCAAATTGATCTGAATTTTAATACATGTGGTAACATACACGTCACAAAACAAGCTCAGACAGGTATTACTGGCACTTTCTTAGATCCCTTTGAAGTTTAAGACCAGCTCATTGCTAATACCAAAGAACTAGGAAGACTGCTTTAGTCCATGGCCTTCCATCCCAGCTGAGAAAAAGATACCTGGAGTCCCAGGTACCTGGGTCCTTCTTGTTTGTTCAGAAGGAAATCCAGCAAAGAAATATTTTTTTCTTGTCTGGCTTTCATCTATCACCTCTGGAAAACTATTTAGAAAAGCAAGAATGGTCAATAAACTCATTTTGTTCATAGAGAATTTGTATGGTGCTGATTATTTATGCATATAAAAGATCAGATTAGGCCTTTACAGGCAAATTGCAGACTTGGAGACTGCTGGCAGCAAGTTCCATCGGCAAACACTGTCAATACAAAGTGCATCTTAACCCTATTGTCATGGCTCAGCTTTCAGCTGACGATGAAGGCAATGTGACTGAATAGTTCTAAGGCATTCAGGCTAAGCGAAAAAAATCTTTCAGGGGCAGGTAGAACCTAGAGCATCTCACAGCTGAATTCTGCATCAACAGTTCTATCCCCAGTACACAAAGTATCATAAAGGCTGCAATCTAAATTGAAGTCTAAAAATAGCACAATAAAATTATTTTCTTCTTTCACTCCACCAGAGAGCAAACAGGCTGACATCAATATCTGCAGGGCACAACCGACTTCTCAGAGTTGACGTAGGGAGAACGATTGCACAACCGCCCTTTCTCATGAACAGACCGACTGTCCCAGAAAATAAGGACGAGAAAGTAATTACCCTGTTGCCAAAAACCAATAATGGCTATTTGATTATGATTATTAATGGGGGGAAAAGGAGACAGACCTTAGAGCAGCAACCAACCACTAAGTGAATCAGTATAAGGTTCCAGGAGGGGGATTAATTTTTGTTTTCTTTTCATCTCTCAGCCAGTCATTTGAATGAGACACCAAACTTTAAGCATGGCCCGCCACATCCTTATCAGTATTCAATCCCACTGCACTGTGGTCACATTATCTTCACTGGATACACCAAGTGAAGTGACAGGCTCCTTGCTGTGGGGGATTGTTTTCCTTTGACTCTAAATGTGAAACAGATGAAGCAGGGTAACTGACATGTCAGATTTAGGAAACTCATTTTCAAGGCAGCAGAAAGACATTTTGTAGCAAATATTTACTTCTCTGTTTGTTTCCTACTGATATTGAACATACATGATCTAATCTGAAAGATGCAGGATTTACAATCTCTGTGAACAAAGGGATGTTACGGCTCATTCTAAAGAAAACAACTCCATCAATTCCTTCAGCCCCTGGTGAAAACACTACTGTAGCTTGAAGTAACATTTGTCATAAAAGAATAAAAGGGACCATGAGGAACGTAAGTAGAGATAAGAGTGCAATTTCTCTGACTTCATATTGCTCCCTAAAAATCAGTTCCCCTACACTGCCTTATGCATCCATTGAATTCCCAATAGAATATCTGCCTCTAAGTCCACATAAACATGGCAGCTTCATCCAAAGATGACCATTCCCAACTTGAGATCCCCAGACAGGAGAAGCTGGGGACAGGGAGGGGTGAATTAGAAGATGCTGGATGAGGGGACCGATGTGTATCACCCTCTCTGTGCGTGGCAGGGTACGAGGCACTTTTTATGCATTCTTTCATTCTAGTGTACAATTTCACTGTGAAGTATTACTATTATGATCTCAACTTTACAGATCAGGACACAGGCTGAAGAGCATCTGGTATTTGCTCAGAGTTACCTAGCTAGCTGGTTGATGGATCCAAGAGTGAGTCCCATCCTGATGACAAGACTCATGATCTGATGGCACCAGATTTTCACGCATTTTATGAGAAAGATTTCAAAGTCTCCTTTTCTACCTGGGAAACACAATCTCCTATTCTACACTGAAACCAAACATAGCACTTAGGAACTCATGTGATGAGTCATTTTGGTGTCAAATACACAGCAGGGGACCCATAAAGTCACCCTTACCTGATAATTTTTTGTGGTAGGTCTTGCTCATTTTTGTGAAAATACAGAAACACTTTACTGGAGATGACAGAAACAACAATAGTAGTTACAAATGGCTAACAGACATAACAGATATTCATTATTATGTGCAAAACTGAACATCTCCCTGTGCTACTGGTTACAAACAAAGGCTTCAATTGAAAACTATTTCAAAATTCTGTGTACCCACACGCATACACACAAATATGTCATGACACACTTTCTGACATCTAATCCTTATTATTCTTCCCAGAACTCTAATCTTTAGCCTTTTCAATACTCCTCATCCTGCTGCTACGAATGGCAGGAAAACGTTAACTGAGCATGTGCCAGTAATGGTGAAAACATGCTTTTCATACCATTCAGTCTGCATAATAACACACTGAAGGGGGTACTACTTTATTTTCTTTCTTTTTTTTTTTTTTTTTTTGGTGGGTGGGGGGATGGAGTTTCACTCTTGTTGCCCAGGTTGGAGTGCAATGGCACAATCTCAGCTCACTACAACCTCCGCCTTCCAGGTTCAAGCAATTCTCCTACCTCAGCCTCCCAAGTAGCTGGGATTACAGGCATGCACCACCATGCCTGGCTAATATTTTTTTTGTATTTTTAGTAGAGATGGGGTTTCACCATGTTGGCCAGGCTGGTCTCGAACTTCTGACCTCAGGTGACCCACCCACCTTGGCCTCCCAAAGTGCTGGGATTACAAGCGTGAGCCACCATGGCCGGCCTACTTTATTTTCTTGTATAGACAGAGAAATTGAAATTTAGAGAGATTAAATAATTTGACCAAGATCATGAAACTAGAAAATATTGAGGAGGCCAGAATTAGGTACTCTAACCCCAAAATCTACGTTCTTGACCCCGTGCTAAGCTTTTTCCTCAAACCCCGTTCAGTTCATGTCCTTGCCAACCCCTTACTTGTGTCGGCCCCTAATCTACATCTCCCTTTCCTCAGCTGTCTTGGCCAGTTCTTCATCCAACTCAAATGCTATACTTTCTTGGTACCTTCCCTTGACTTCCCCCTTGGGCAGAACTAGTTCTTCCTCCATATATTATTCCTTTAGCTCTTCATGTATGTCTGTAGTAATGTCCTTATCATGTCCCAGCCATGAGACAACAAGCTCCTTAAGGGAAGGCCAGATGCCTTACTCATCCTTGTACCCCTGGTCCCCAGCCTGAGGTCTGGTGCATGGTAAAAGCTCCATATAGAATTTCCTAAAAGCCCATCACTGGTTCCATGTTTCGTTTTGTACCCTGCCACCCACGCCCCCCATCCACTAGGGATGAGGAACATTTTATCAAGATCTTCTGAGTGACATCTCTTCAAATCCATAATAATATTTTTGAACTTTCCCCCTCTTTTCTGTTTTTGTCAAGCTGAAGAAGCCTGAAATCCATCAAACTATACTCAAAATATTATTTTCTAATTACCTCAATCATCCAATTTCTCTACTTTCCTTTGAAAGGTGTTGTATTCTCCACGTTTTATTTTAATTTGTACTTCCTGGTAAACTTGTACTTTACTTTAAAAGTAACTAAAATTTCTAAATTCATAAAATCTGTAAAATAGAGGTGGCTGATTTAATTACAGAAGGACTGACTGCAAAGTTATTTTAAGTATTTATCTTTCCTGATACATTTATCTGTCTGTTCAAAGATCAGTAATGACTTTATGGAGTCTGGGGGCAGATTTGGAGTTAGACTGACTGCTCATGTTTGAATCCTGGCCCCATGCCGCACTAGCATGTGATTGTGGACAAGCGATTTAACCTCCCTCAGCCTCAGTTTTCTTGTCTGTAAAGTGGGAATAATAAAATTATCTATTTCATTGGAATTGGAAGAAAAAATTAGTTAAAATGTCAAGCACTAACCACAACCAGCATCTAAATGAATACAATCATCAACACGACTGCGAGGCCCTCAGAGATCAGAGCCATTGCTACTTCTCTATGCCAGTTTATTGCCTCTCAGCTCCAAATGTACATTGACTGCTCAGCAAAAATTTAGCTGATCCCTTTAGGTATTTTCTTTGCTAGCTGACACAGTATTAAGTTTTGTCAGTAGAGGGAGCTAGAAAGGCCTTGCAGGAGGAAAGGGTCCCACCCCACCTCCACCCCCTCCCCCCAACCCCCAACCCTTCCCCCCAACCCCCCAACCCCCTCTCCCCTACTGCCCCACCCACTACCTCCCTCCCTGCCACTCCTCTACCTCCCCCCACCCCCACCCCCACCCCACCCCCGGGCCCATATCAGTGTGTTCTCAGCCAGCTCCTGAAACGCAGATGGCTTCTCTAGACCCTGCTCCTACAACATGCACAGGCCTCTAGCACCCAGCCTCTGAAGCACGCGTTGTTTCCTCTGCACCCAGCTCCTGTGATACAGTGGCTTCTCCAGCACTCAGCTTCTGCACCCCCTGACTCCTGCAAGCATACAGCTTCCCCAGAATTCAGCTTCTACTGTCTGGGCAGCTTCCCCAGCATCTGGATGCCAGCATTTCCCAGAAGCCCTTTTCGTAGCAGATTGCCACTGGTGAAACAACTCCCTATGAACAGCTTTCCTTGGCATCATGGAGGGTGATGAAGAACTTTCAGAAAGTTCTTCCAGAAGGCACTTCCAGCAGGTTACACTGCTGCAGCATGACACTGACTTCTTGGCTATCCAGTTTGCCATGGTCATGCTGTCTCTAACCAGGTCTGGTCTTATCTTGGGGGCAGGAAACCCTGTATCTCAGTCCTATGGGTGGTAGCTGCTTCATATATCTGCTGCTCTTACATTTTTTAGACTTGTCTTTACTTCCTACTGGTGAATCCCTCATGACTCCAGTTCTCTGTTAAAATTAATAATTATTTGTATTAGACCATCCCTGTTTAAATTACTAGGTGGTTTCTGTGTCCTGATCTGTCCTTGACTGAAACACACTTTGGCCTCACCTCCTTGCTCTTACGATGTACCCTCCCATGCCCTCAGCTTTCATTTTGTTCTTCACACGCTCCAAGGCTGTTCTTATCTTTGCGTATTTGTTTTTTTCTGCCTGCAATGACCTGAAATGTCACCAGATCTTCACATGGCTGACACCTGAGTGTTTCCCCTAAGTCGCTTTCCAGAAGCTCCAGTCTAAAGTAGTACTGTCCAGTCCCTGCAGCCTCAATCACCAGCTAGCACATAAGCCTATTTTATTTTCTTTGTAGCACCATGACTATCTGAGTTATCTTGTTCTTTTATCTGCCACTCTGCTTAATGAAATGTAAGCTTCAAGAGAGCGAAGATGGTGTTTCTTTTGTTTATTGGTACCAGAGCTCCAGGGAATAGAATAGTTGCTAAATGTAAAAGTAAATAATGATGTAAAGATAAGAAGAAATAAAGGGGAGAAGGAAGGAAGAGAGGAAGGGAAGGAAGAAAAGAAAGAGGGAAGGAGAAAGGTAAGGAGGAAGGCAGAGAGGGAGGGAGGGAGGAATTCACTATATCATCCCCCTCCCATTCTAATCTAGTTCCCAACCCTAATGCTGCTGATTTAATCAATACTTTGCATTGCCCATTCTCACAATCACCGACGCTTAAAATCCTGGAATCACTACTCTGTTATTTCCCACATTCAGTCACTAAGACTCATTAATTAAAGAAAAAATTGGCCTTACTTCTCCTCTCTCTTCTCTAATAGTATCATCATTCTGGTCAGCTTTCCATGGAATCATGACTTTATTATCATAATAGGTTCCTTTCTGGTCTCTCTAATTTCACATTCCTTTTCCTTTTTAATCTACTCTTAATAGTGTTGCCAACCGTCTTTCTAACACACTGCTTTTCATCAAACCTCTCCCCACTTCTCTACATACCAACTGCTACTTGTTTCATCACACTTAAAATAATCTGTCTACCTTCTAACACTCTCTTATGTGGCCAAAGGCCACCTAACAACCTTCACCGACCGTCAAACCACAATAACCCTTTCTGTCTGGTCAGACTGGTTCTCCCCAGCCCCATGAACAAGTCATGCCATCCTTGTTCTGCGGCCTTCACTCATAAGCATCTCTGTCCCTCCTACTATTCTGGATAGGGACAGTTCAAACTCTACCCCACAGAACCTTCATGGACAACCACAGGCTCACTGGTCAGCTCCTCTTAACTCCTATAGTCCAAAAAACCTCTGGAATTATTTTTCATTAATGTATGTTTTCATTTCTTCATCTTATCAAAGGAAATATGTAAGCTCCATCATTCTCTGTGGCTTCAAGTAGAATGCTGAACAAGCAGGGGAAAATGATAAATGAGAAACCATTGTTAGCCCCCAGTTGAGGATCAGTATGAACTCTAAAACCCAGGGGATCTGCATGGTGATTAGCTAAGATTCTGTTCTACTAGAGCAGTCTACGACAGTCTTCTGTCCAAAGTCACAGTTTCCCTCATTATTCACATATTAAATCTGATATGATACATTTTGCATGCCACTGGTATAGACAACTTATTTTAGAAAAGAAACAGCAATGAAACTTTTTATAAAGATTTTTGTTCTTTTAAACAGCCTCAGGCCAGGCACAGTGGCTCATACCTGTAATCCCAACACTTTGGGAGGCCTAGGCAGAAGGATCACTTTAGCTCAGGAGTTCAAGGCCAGTCTCAACAACATTGCAAGACCCCATCTCTACAAAAAATTTTAAAATTAGCCAGACATGGTGGTGTGTGCTTGTGGACCTAGACTTGGAGGCTAAGGTAAGATAATTAATCGAGCCCAGGAGGTTGAGGCTGCAGTGAGCTGTGATCGTGCCACTGCACTCCCACCTGGGTGACAGAGCAAGACCCTATCTCAAAAATTTAACCTAATATAAAAGGCGATTTTCCCTTCTATCTTCATCTTTTGTACTTTGCATATTTTTCTTCTCTTGAAATTGTTGAGTAAAAGGCTTTCTTTGGGTTGAGAAGATCTCCATGTTTCCTCACACTTCCACCCCTCAAAAAAAGGACCCCAGGAAAGTAAGAACAAGATATCTTTTAGCTAAATGGTGTCAGTCCCCATCAGTTCAAAGCTTCAGGGCTCTTGAGCAAAGAGAAATTAGTGTTTTAAACTATCATATAACAAAAAGTTAGAAACCAACCAAATGCCCTTCAATGAAATATGGTAAGCAAGTTATAGTATGTGCACTTACTGGAACATCAATTACTATTAAAACCATGTTTATAATTATCACATAGTAACATAGAAAAATATTTTTTTGGCAAACCATCTGGCTGAAAATAAAGCAGTATGTCCAAAATCAGTGCATACAATTAATTATGACTGTTGTTTGTTTTGGGGGATTTTGGGGTGGTATACTGGAATTATAATGAGTAAAACATTAATATCATCACAGTGTGAGTCACAAACACACCCCTGAAAAATCTAAAATCTAAAGAGGATTCTGGTTTCCCATTTTTGCAGGACTGACCCTTTTCTGATAGAACGACTGATAGGTCTACAGTAAGAAAGTAAATAATGGTCTATTTCCCAAGCCTAGGGAGTTTTACTTTCAAAAGTTGTGGCGCCAGATGCAGAACAGTGTGTTTAGTCCCACACCTTTTGCCTAACCGGGGATTATGAATATCTATGGCTAAATTATTAAAAAGCAGTAGAAGGATAAAAATTGAATTAAAATGGTTCTCTATAGATGGAAGGTAGAAGAGAGAATAAAAGTCAGGTTGGAGACAGAATAAGAGTCATACTTCTCTGAATGCATCTTGTTTTATACACTTGACTTTGAACCATAAGGTTAGTGTTACATATGCTTAAAAATAGCAATCACTAAGTAGAAAGCAAAATAAAACTAATAAGCCCATAAGCTTATTGGTGCATTGAGCTAACTATGCATCGAGTTGGTGGTTTAATTACACTAAGGGGAATTAATTACAGTGGTTTTAAAACTCTGCGATTTAACTGTACATCTCTAGTAGAATTTATCTTAAGAACAAAAGAAACTGTAGTTAAATCTTAAGTTGTTTTTATAGTATTAATAACATCACTATTATTCTTATAAAACTATATGTATCTATATATTATACTCCTAATATACTATTACATGTGTATTTGCATTAGTATATTTTATATATATATCAGTATACTATTACATATAGAGAGGATATATTATTTCATATATAGAGAGAAATATGTACATACATATGCTTTTATATATATATATATGTCATTATACTGAGGATATTTGGAACCAAAATTTTCAGCATAAGAGAAAATAAATACAAATATAATATAACATAAATTAAGTAAAACCATGTAATATTAACTTTGAGTTGAAAATAACAGTATAAACCGGTGATATCAGTTCTTTTGGTACACAATTTTCTAGATTCGACTAATGATAAGGCCAAGTAGCTCTGAGCATCTACAGCAGTGGTCCCCAACCTTTTTGGCACTGGGGACTGGTTTCATAAAAGATTATTTTTCCACAGATCAAGGGGGTTAGGGATGGTTTCGGGGTGATTCAAACGCATTACATTTATTGTGCATTTTATTTCTATTATATTATAATATTTAATAAAACAATTATACAACTCACCATAATGTAGAATCAGTGGGAGCCCTGAACTTGTTTTCCTGCAACTAGATGGTCCCATCTGGGGGTGATGGGAGACAGTGACAGATCGTCAGGCATTAGATTCTCATAAGGAGCAAACAACCTGGATCACCGGCATGTGCAGTTACAATAGGGTTCAGGCTCCTAGGAGAATATAATGCCACCACTGATCTGACAGGAGGCGGAGCTCAGGCAGTAATATGAGCAATGGGGATTGGCTGCAAATACAGAAAAAGCTTCGCTTACTCACCTGCTGTTCACCTCCTGCTGTGCAGCCCGGTTCTCAACAGGCCGCGGACTGGTACTGGTCCATGGCCCGGGGGTTGGAGACCCCTGATCTACAGGATTTAGAGTATGGTCTCTAAATACCGTTTCCTACTAAAAGAAACACGGGCTTTTTTGGAGTAAACACTGATTTGATATTTGGGACAGTAAATATACAAGATGAGTCTAAAACATTTTGTTACATCAGAAAACAATGAAGTTTCTAGGTTAATGTCAAAAGAGTCTGTAGCCAATCTGAAGGGGCTCTCATTGGCTAAAGATGGGGCAATTTGAAAAAGAATAACTTCTGCAAAGAACTGAAATATCACGAATATACGAAACCGTGACTTCCTACTAATGCACATACATTCATACACAAACACTTTTTCATCCTTGTAGGATGCTAGAAAACCAGTTACTATTCTGCAAATGGATGCATTAGGAGAAAGAATTAGACATTTCTCCTGTCTTTCTTTCATAAATTGTACCTCAAGATAATCAAATAGAGGAAAGTTTATTTTTTTATATAAGAATTCTGGCTAAAAATGAAAACTGAATGACAGAATTAGATTATGACTATGTCGTAACCCCCCCTCATGAAGTAATGAATCTAAGCCATAATCACCAATGTAGGTAAAAAGCTGATGGGGAATTTGATACAAGAAGGATGGAGTGCTCAACACCTCAACTCAGCAACCAACCTTAACATCACAGGAGGGAGACAACAGACATTGGCTTCCCCGTGTGGTACAATAGAAAGTCATACTATTGATGAAGCATTCTTGGCCATAAAATCAAATTCTCGGCCATAAATATGACCAAGTCTCAAGACCTAACTACCAGTTTATGGAAAATACAGGAAAAAAAAAACCACATGTGAATGACCACAGGAACACATTTGCCAAATTCCGTAGGACAAACAATCTAGTTCTCTCAACATTACAAAGAAGGAAGTAAAGGAAAAGGAAAGGGAACTGACAGATTAAAAGAGACCTAAGAAACATTTCTCAATTTGAATAAACCATTTGTTAAAATAAAATTATGAGACAATTAGGTAAAACTGAAACACTGACTAAATAGCTGATGATATTAAAGAATTCTTATTAATGTTTTTAGGTATGATAATGGTATTGCAGTTATTTTTTAAGTCTTTATCTTCTGGGAAGCATGCACTGACATATTTATGGATTAAATAAAATGTCTGAGATTTGTTTCAAAATATTCCTGTTGGTGCTAGGGTGCGGGTGGTAGATTCATGGCTCCCCAGATATGTCCATGTTCTAATCCCGGGAACCTATGAATTTTATCTTACATGCCAAAGAGTATTTTGCAGATGTGAGTAAATTAAAGATCTTGAGATGGAGATGATCCTGGATTATCTGGTGGATCTGATGTAATCACAAGGTTCTTATAAGAGGGAAGCAGAAGAGTGAGAATCAGTGTCAAAGGAGACAGTGATGCAATGAAGAAGCAGAGACTGGAGTGAGGCACTTTGAAGATGGAGGAAGGGGCCACAAGCCAAGGAGTGCAGGTGGCCACTAGGAGATGAAAAAGGCAAGCAAATGGATTCTCCCCTGGAGCCTTCAGAGAGAACCAGCCCTGTGGACACCTTGACTTTATCCAGTGGACTTGATTATGGATTTCTGGTTTCCACAACTAGAAGAGAATAGCTTTGTGTTGTTTCAAGTCATGAAGTTTGTGACAATTTGTTACAGCAGCAAAAGAAAACTAATAAGGTAGGAAAGCAGGTGGGAGGATAGCTGAAACTAGTTTGGCCACGTATTGAAATTTGTTGAATTTATAAGGTGCATACATGGGGCTCATTATAATTTCTCTAGTTTTGTATATGTTTGGAAATTTCCACAGTAATCATTTTTTTAAGTCTTGCTAAAGGAACTCCTGTTGGACCTTTGGCAAGGTGCTGAATCTCTCTGAGTCCCAGTTGCCTTACATATTCTTGTTAATAATAGCGCTCACCCCTCATTGGGTTGTTGGGAGGCATACAGCACATAATCTCTTTAAAGTATATAGCAGATTATCCGATGCACAGATATCTTGATGAAGGTTAGTTATTGATACTATCACTGCCTGTCATTTTCAGACATTTCCAACAAACATTTGAAAAATGTCTGAATCAGTCTCTCTACCATGATCATTGCAATCCTCTAAAAGGTATTTGTGCCATAAGTATTAAATATTCCATTT
This sequence comes from Homo sapiens, assembly GCF_000001405.40. Taxonomy (NCBI): domain Eukaryota; kingdom Metazoa; phylum Chordata; class Mammalia; order Primates; family Hominidae; genus Homo; species Homo sapiens. Next base: position 231,976,738 of record NC_000001.11, on the reverse strand, counting down.
TTAAAAGCTCTTGTTTCTGTTTGATTGTTTTGATGGTTTCCCCAGAGAGTGAACAACTTTAGCGTCAAAGGTATGGAGTTAAGCCCAATACGGGGGTTATAAAAGCTCTATCCCAGGAAAGTAAGTGGCTGGCCTCTCAGCTTCCAAAGATTCCATAGTCTTTTTCCCCAGGATGAGTGTCTATGCTCCTTGTTTGTTCTTCAACATGCAACTAAGAATCAGAACTCTTATTATCCTATGTGAACTGGAAAGAGATCTTCCTTTTTCTGTCCCAAAGTGACATCATCCTCTGAAGCAGCCACAAGAAAGGTCACCCCGGCTTTTTCAGGAACACATTAGCGGTGACTGTTCTGTGCCCCATTCCTTCACAGAAGCACTGCATTTTCTGCTCAGTGGTGGCAACAGGATCCCTAGCGGGGCTTAAAGTGAGATTCACGGCTGACACCCAGAGGCTATGAAATAATCAGCATTTTCAAAAACATCCCTTTTCCTGTATACTGTTCTCAAGTTAATGTTAGGCCCTGGAGTCATGCTGGAGCTGGAGATGGGATTCACAGACCCATTAATGAACACTTTGCACCAAAATAGTTAGGTCCCTTGCTCCTGGCACCTGTCCTGGTGAGAAAGGGAAGCACAGTTGCCCGCTGCCTGGCCTCACCTCCTGCCTCAGAAGTCAGAGAACTTAGGAAGAAAGTGCAGTGAGCCATGTAGATGCTTCATAAGTAAACTAATGAGCATAGGCTAAAATATTTCATTTTCTATTTGAATAAATGTATGCGGTACAAGGGCAATTTTGTTACATGCATAGATTGCCTAGTGGTTAAGTCAGGGCTCTAGGGTACCCATCACCCAAATTATGTACATTGTACCCATAAGTAATTTTTCATCATCCACCCCCTCTCACTCTCTCACCTTTCCAAATCTCCATCGTCTATCATTCCTCTCTCTACGTCCATGTGAACACATTTTTTAACACCCACTTAGGAGTGAGAACACACGATATTTGATGTTCTGTGTCTGGCTTGTTTCACTTCGGATAATGACTTCCAATTCTATCCATGTTGCTGCAAATGACAAGATCTCATTCTTTCATTCTTTTTATGCATTTGTATTTTATGCATTTTATGTATTTCATTGTGTATATATGCCAAATTCTCTTTATCCAATCACCCACTGATTCCATATCTTTGCTGTTGGAAATAGTGCTGTGATAAACATACAAGTGCAGGCTTTTGATACATTGATTTCTTTTCCTTTGGGTAGATTTCCAGTAGTGGGATTGCTGGATCAAATGGAGGTTCTATTTTTAGTTCTTTGAGAAATCCCCATACTGTTTTCCACAGAGGTTGTACTAATTTAAATTTCCACCGGCAGTGTATAAGGGTCTTCTTTTCTCTACAATACATCTTCATCAAAATCTGTTATTTTTTGTCTTTTAGATAATAGCCATTCTGACTGGGGTACAATGATATCTCATTGTGCTTTTAATGTGCATTTCTCTGATGATTAGTAAGTTGAGCCCTTTTTCATATACCTGTTGTCCATGTGTATGTCTTCTTTTGCAAAATGTTTTCTCATATTAAAACATTTCTTTGTTTTTTGTTGTTGTTGTTGTTGTTATTGTTGTTTTGTTGTCTTTTGAAATTGAGTCTCTCTCTGTTGCTAGGCCTGGAGTGCAGTGGTGCGATCTCAGCTCACTGCAACCTTGCCTCCCAGGTTCAAGCAATCCTCCTGTCTCAGCCTCCCGAGTAGCTGGGACTACAGGCATGTGCCACCACGCCCAGCTAATTTTTTGTATTTTTAGTGGAGACGGGGTTTCACCATGTTAGCCAGGATGGTCTTGATCTCTTGACCTCGTGATCTGCCAGCCTCAGCCTCCCAAAGTGCTGGGATTACAGGCGTGAGCCACCACACCCGGCCTAAAATATTTCTTAAATTCCTCCATAGGATTTTGAATTTCTTGAAGAAAATTACTATATAGATTGGTATTATTGATTCCTTTTATTATAATACTAAGCTAGACTTAAAGAAACTGGCAGAAAAAGCACTGGTTAGCAAATCATAAAGTTGACAAAATTAAGTGTGGGTATAAGAATTTAAATTCATGCTTCCGCCCTTCTGCTAATTATCTCCAGGTTTTTCTAGGGATTCTTATTACGGAAGTTAAGCAAACGGAAGCATCCACTAAAGTGCAGATAAACCAACTTTCTCTCTTAAAATCTATGTGAAAAGATCTGCTTATGAGGTGGCTGATGAAACCACATCTCTTGCCAGATTTTTACTAGGCTTATTTTCACATTTTTTGAGGACCTGCACATAGGCTTGCATTTATTTTCCTGACTTAAGAAAAAAAGACCAGTAAAATGGTCCGATTAAGGAATAATGTTAATTTTTAAAGGTTGTTGGGTTTATTTTAAATGATATCATATTTCGGCATATTTGTTATTGTTGTTGTTTTCAGTCAAGCTCAAACTCTGAGGTGATGCTGAGCTAAACATCCAGGGAGAGACTCACACCTCCCACTCTTGAGACCACGGGAAGGCCAGCCCCGCACCCGCACATGCTGCCCTCCCCATTCTAGTCCCAGACACCCCAATCATGGTTCTCTCCTGCTGCTTTGACTCACTTGACCCTGTTTAGTGTGTGAGCTTTGGAGATGGTGACTTGAGGAGTATGGCTGCAAGAAATACCATGTTGCAAACATAAACATGTACCTCTTTAAGAAAAAAAAAAATCCCCGTCAACTCAGAACCACAAAAACAGCCACAGCTCTTCAGAGAAAGATGACACATTAGTTTGGAGTGGGTGTGAGGAGGGTACTCCGTATCATAACTTGCCTGCCAATGCTTAAACAGCTGGCTTTTCTAGCTTTTCACTTTTGAGCCCTGAAAATAGAGTACTATCTAGATGGTCTCCTTGCTATTACTATTAATACGACTATTTATTTAAAAAGGATGTCCCACTCCCAATTAGAATTTTACAATCTTTGTTTGTAAATTTAAAAAAATGCTAGCTCCACTGTTTGGGCATGCGGAGGGAAACCTATTATAGGCCTAGGAAAAATGCATGTGATCACACAGTGAATACAGATCTGAATGCAGGACTGCCACGGACAAGACAAAACAACTGATGCTTCGGTGGGTTGTTGTTGATGATGTTTATCAACCGCATTGTCGAAGATGCTTGTTCTTATGTTTTGAAACCAGATCAACAGCATTCATGATCCAAGTGATGTGGTCAATTTGAAGGACATGGGAAAAGGCTTCCCTGCCTGAAGTTACTCTTGGACCAGTAAGCCCTGTCCCTCAACTTGCTGCTTCGAGACCTTTGCATGAGGTTGTAGCCATCTTCTAAATGTGTATTTATTCTTCCTTTAAAGAACAAGACATTGGCGGCCGGGTGCGGTGGCTCACGCCTATAATCCCAGCACTTTGGGAGGCCAAGGCAGGCTGATCACGAGGTCAGGAGTTCGAGACCAGCCTGGCCAATATGGTGAAACCCCATCTCTACTTAAAAATACAAAGATTAGCCAGGCGTGGTGGCGCACGCCTGTAGTCCCAGCTACTCAGGAGTCTGAGGCAGGAGAATTGCTTGAACCCAGGAGGCAGAGGTTGCAGTGAGCTGAGATTACACCACTGCACTCCAGCCTGGATAACAGAGTGAGACTCCATCTCAAAAAAAAAAAAAAAAGAACAAGACATTGGCATACTAGTATACTAGTCTTACAATTCTCAAAATTACAATTGACTGGAATCCATCAAATGAGGCGATGGGGTCAGGTTGTAGAGGAAAGAGGAGACGCAGCCCAATATTACGGGTTTCACAGAGGGCCCGTGTACCCTATAGGTACCATATGGTCACCACTCTCAGTAACAGCTTATTTGCTTTTTCCTAAACCTTATAACCAGTTTCATTTGTTTCTTACTCTTGAGTTCAGGTAGTGCTAGTTCATCATAGACTGGCATAGCAACAGGCTAAGACATCAACTGCCATTTTCTTTATCTGCCTCTAAAATCCTATGTCGTGAGGTCTAGTGGCTGTGATTAACAGTCAGAGCTGGAGATTTATGCATGGAATCTGAAGCCAAATGAGCAGTCAATTTGTTTTCAGGAGTCTGTCTCTTGAGATTTGTATCTCTGGATATTGTCCCACTGAATTCTTCTTAGAGAAGAATCCTTCTTCCTAGGTAGACTAACATAGCTGGAGATGAGAAGCCAAGCTCTCATCATCACAGCTGCTATATAATGCCCTAAACACTCACCACCTGGGAAACAAAGATGGGGCCATATTCATTCCGAAATCATACAGTTACACTTGACTAAACTCTTCCAGTTGAAAGGCTTCATAGTCACTTACAGATCTAAGGAACCAGATGAAACATACTCCAGGTGAGCCCCTGCCCCTCTGGCAGGCAGAAGGGCAAGACATCTTACAGAAGCACATCTCTCCTTCATGCTCCAATAAGCCACACAAATGAGCACACTTATGCCAAAGCAACCCTCTAGAACAATTTCCATTTGGTAACTACTAGAGTTGACAAATGCCATCAACAAAACAAAAGTAAATTCTACTGAGCAGCAATAAATCAAGAAAATTCTAGAGACAGACAGTCAATTAAAAGAGACAGGCTTCAGTTCATTTGCAAAGTGAGACCGGGCAGCGTAATTACCGCTCTGCACTGGTGGAACGCCTCCATTGCAAAACCACAGCTGATAACCAGCATGTTCGTTATTTTCCCATTTACAGAATAATAAAGGAAATAACTCAGTCAAATGACTTCGTGTAATTGTCACAAGTCATCCTGTTGGTGATTCTCTTCTTTTTCTTAGTCCGCTAAATCATTGTATGATTTCTACTGGGGAATTTTTTTCTTAAAGAAGCACAACTGAAAGTCCCTGCTTTTGTGATGAATGGGAGCTACAGAATTATCTTCTGAGGCTTAGCATACAATACGATCACATAAAATTCTCTCAGCTCGAGAAACTTCATCTTTACATCAGCAGCAACAGAAGGAAAAAAAAATGTTTTCCGCCTGAGGCAGTTGTGATAAGGGATTTAGAACCCATCCTGGTGTCAGCATCCAGATATAATGGGATACAGCCCAGCACCTAAAGTGTCTGCAGCTCGCTCCCTTGTAACTAATGTTCTCACAGCTGTTGTATGACTCAGGGTGGCTGGAGAGGAAGGGGAAGAGGGAAAAAGGAGCAAAATGAATCATAGAAAATGTTGCATGTAATATTTTGTCTAACCTACATTTGCCACGGCTGCTGCAGAACTGTCAGTAAAGTGAGATAAGGACATTGAGCAAGTCTCAAAAATGACTGCATGCTAGAACTGAGCATCTGAGAAATTCCATGAGGGGTTTTACTTTTATTAATCATGTGTCTGAAGCTAACAGGTTCATACCATGTTAGCAAATTAAACTATCATACAATCTTGACGACGCTTCCTCGAATCATTAAAAAGTCTTCTCATTTAATTAATGACAAATTTGTTATCTACCTACTGGGGTTTCCATTGATACAGCAATTAATTTTTCTTTAAGATTTCCTAACTCCTAGCCAAATGCATCAAAAACACTCAAGCTATAATGGTTTATCTTGAGTTTAAAAAAACCATCTAAGATTGAACATTCACCATTAATTAATTAAACTGTCTTTTTAAAACTGTAACAGGTGCCATGAAATGTGCACACTGTGAAGCACATTGACATATCTGGGGATAATGGGTGCACAGGCTCATAGAGCACCATGGATATAACCTACACAAGACACTGCCTTCCTTAGCTCAGTCTCTTCCTTAGCTCAGGCCACGTAAAAATCACAGCTGAATGTCTTTCTGCCAACTTAAAGAAAGAGGAACCCTCTTTTCTCAGTCACTGGGCACCTTGCCAAGTCTCAGACCTTCTTAAATATTGGTTGATTTCTCAATTGATCTCAGTGGGCAGAGTGATCTTATCATTGCTTTACAGCAGAGAAACTTTGGGTTGAATTGCGCAAACCACAGTGGAACCTGTTTAATGAACCCTTTTCTTTTAAGTGATAATCAATCTCCTGTCTATTTTCTATTCTATTAGTGAAAGTCATGGTCATCTTTTTCTTCAGGCTATCTTTCAAAAACACCACCGCATTTGATTAAGTGTTGAATTATCAATGGCAAAGAAAATGATGACAGGCAACTAAGACCCCATGGATTCCATCCTTGTAGTGCTACCCAGATTCTTCCCATGCAGCTAAGTCCTGGGAAGAGGGCCCTCACCAGACAAGCCCACAGGGCTTCACTTCTAATCTTCCTTCTTCTTCTTTTCTGTCCATGCCATTCTCTAGGGCAATATTTTTGCTTTCTCCAAGGAAAACACCAGAAAGAAAGAAACAAGTCATCATGATCAGTGGCCATCAGAGAAATGCAAATCAAAACCACAATGAGATACCATCTCATACCAGTTAGAATGGCGATCATTAAAAAGTCAGGAAACAACAGGTGCTGGAGAAGGTATGGAGAAATAGGAACACTTTTACACTGTTGGTGGGACTGTAAACTAGTTCAACCATTGTGGAAGACAGTGTGGCAATTCCTCAGGGATCTAGAACTAGAAATACCATTTGACCCAGCCATCTCATTACTGGGTATATACCCAAAGGATTATAAATCTTGCTGCTATAAAGACACATGCACACGTATGTTTATTGCAGCACTATTCACAATAGCAAAGACTTGGGACCAACCCAAACGTCCATCAATGGTAGACTGGATTAAGAAAATGTGGCACATATACACTATGGAATACTATGCAGCCATAAAAAAGGATGAGCTCATGTCCTTTGTAGGCACATGGATGAAGCTGGAAACCATCATTCTCAGCAAACTATCGCAAAGACGAAAAACCAAACATGGTATGTTCTCACTCATGGGTGGGAATTGAACAATGAGAACACTTGGACACAGGAAGGGGAACATCACACACCGGGGCCTGTCATGGGGTGGGGGGAGAGGGGAGGGATAGCATTAGGAGATATACCTAATGTAAATGACGAGTTAATGGGTGCAGCACACCAACATGGCACTGGTATACATATGTAACAAACCTGCAAGTTGTGCACACGTACCCTAGAACTTAAAGTATAATAAAAAAAAAAAAAAGAAAGAAAGAAAGAAACAAGTATATTGGAGTATCTTCACCCCAAAATGCTGTCTCTGAGGTCAAGACGATTTTCTTTTGAGCTCCACTGAGGGTCAAGAGGAGGGGCCTTGGAGCTCCCCAAATCTCAGAAGTGATGGGAAATCCTCCCCAGCACCTGAGCTCTGGAGCCTGGGAACTTTGAGCTCTGTCAATCTCAAAAACTCCAGAACAAGCCAGATCCATTCTGAGAGCAGCAGTGTGCTCTAGGATCCCTGCCACTTGACTGTAGGAACCACTGAAGGCTCTAAATCTTCTGTCACAGCCATTAGCAAGAACTCAATTACCTCATTTCTTTTTCTTCCCACCCTCTGCAGCAGGTGCTAACAGCTGGCCAAAGGGCAGACAGCAAAAAAAAAAAAAAAAAAAAAAAAACCGCTGAGTGTTTGGATAATCAGGAGGTTTGGCAGATCCTTAATGGAGGGTATTAGCTACAAGCAAACATCTCTCTGCTCCCCACAATTTCACCAGGAAGATAAGGTATTCTCTTCTGTTTTTATAAAATAAAACTTGTTTTTTAATGTAGAGTTTCTTGGTTTCATAATTTCCATGGTGCCATAATTCCTACTAGTACATACTAGTGATCATTGATTAATCCCTTATTATATATAAGAAATAGTTTTTATCTTATTCTACTGTTATCCCATTGTTATGACAGAAAATCAAGTCTTTAAGAGCTGCATTAACCTGGTAAAGGCCCACAGCTCAGAAATGGCCACCCTTGAATCTAGACTATCTGATTCCAGAGCTGGTACTTGAAAATAACAATCCTCAGGAGAGGGGTTACTCATGAGGCCCCTTCATGAGCCCCTCCCTAGATGAAGCTTCCAGATCGACCACAGGGAGTTGGCGGTGGACAACACTGCTGCCAACCTCAGGGGTCTTCATTACATAGGGAAACAGAAACAGGTTTTTGTGTGTGTGTGAGAGGGCTTTTTGTTTTTGTTTTTGCTTTTTTTTTTTTTTTTTTGAGACGGAGTCTCGCTCTGTCGCCCAGGCTGGAGTGCAGTGGCGGGATCTCGGCTCACTGCAAGCTCCGCCTCCCGGGTTCACGCCATTCTCCTGCCTCAGCCTCCCTTGTTTTTGCTTTAAAAGTGATGCCTCAAGAGGAAGGACACCTTTTATATTAATTACTGTGACTGGTACGTCTGCTCAGGGTACCGAGAAGGGAAGAGTTGCCTCCGCCTCCCATGTTGTGGTCCAGATGTGAAGAGGCCAGTTCCAATTCGGGGTTGGCGGCTTCTTTTCTTGTTTTGAAGGAAAGGCTTTCCTAACACAGGGAGCTGGAATTCTAGAAGATGGAACTCTGCTTTCTCTCTCCGAAGAACTGCATGCAGATTTTTTGAATTGATCTGAGTACTCTGGAAACTAAATTCCATCACAAGTGAACATTTCCTGGGAAAGTTATTTCTGAGTTAAAATTCATTACATGGGTTCTTATAGAATGGAAAGTATTATAATGACCAATAGGCCAATGCAGAAAAGTTAATTATAAATTATATCATTTACATTTTACATTGTAAAGTGTTACTTAGTTTTATATACATATCAGTTAATACTTAATTGAGTGTCTAGAATAGTGAACTACTATGGTGTTGAGTCTAATCCCCATCAAAGTGTTACTAATGTTTTTCCTACCTTTGTTTTCCTTCCTTTTTTACTCTTTTTAATTCACGCCATTTTGTTATATTTTATGCAGTTTTTCTCTGCGTATGTTTAGCTTATGCATTATTATTTTAAGCATACTTAAGATTTTTCTGATGAGATAAGGTAAAAGTTAAATGCAAAAATCAATGATTATCAAATTAATGATTTCACTTAACTTTGTAGAATTAAGCGCTTTATATTTTCTTACAGTTTGCATTTCAAACTGATAAGGTAATGTAAATCATTGTTTCTCTTGTAAAATTGGTCAAAATAGTCAAATAGCTTCAAAGTTCAAAAGTGTATAAATCCGACAGTGAATATTTTATGGAGACTGCTATGGTTTAATATTAGAACATAAGTAAATGAATATTTTTTCAACACTCTCTAATTTAAACTGTGTGCACTCATCAGTAAGAAAATTATGAAACTCCAATATTTGTTTCACAAGTGGTATACATGTATTACTACATACATATAAAACATTTTTGAAGATAAAATATAAATGGATGAAATTGAAGCATAAAATAGAAATTATAATATGTTCTTCCCACACTCCAGTAAACTGTTTTGTGTGCACCTGTTTTGGAAACAATTGCTCCAATTTTTGACCCCGGTTCCCGTCTTCATTAGATTGAGAGCAGTTGGCAGTTTACAGTCTCTTTTGGCCATGACACACAGGCTCTGGGAGCCTTGGGTGAGGGAACAGACCTTGGTCTTTCAGGTGCTGCTCACCCTGCTGGCCACCTCTGGACATTCATTAGCAGGGTGAGTTCACCTGGCTATCATTCCACATCAGGCTGTCCTATTGAAATTTTAATAATTAAAAAGTAAACATTAGTTTTTAAAAAGAGAACTGGATCATCTTTGTAAAAATACATCAATCTCTAAATTTCAAAGCAAATTTCAGATAAGACCATTGAGTTCTTGACAGTTCCTTCTAAAGCTAAGAAGGGCCTCCAAGGAGGTATCCAACTACTTTCTTCTATGTTCAAAACAGAGTTAAAAGATTTTTTGTTTGTCTTTTCTGATGATAAAAGTGTGATGCACACTGGAAGCAAACACTTGAGGAACACACTAGAGGACAAGGACACAAACATCAGCTATAATCCACTAAGTGCTCGAGAGTTTGTGGTAAAGGTTCACTAGAGGACAAGGACGCAAGCATCACTTATAATCTACCAAGTGCTCAAGAGTTCGTGGTAAAGGTTTTATGTTGAACTTCAGGAAAAAAAGTAGAGTTAGAATGAAGAGATTCTAGAAAGAAGAGAAATGTTCACATTAGTCATGCATACAAGAGATTCCATCAGTTAAATGGAACCACTACACCCATCCTCAGGGGGAGGGCTTGGCCCACTTGGTCCAGAGACATGAGTTTGCCATCAGGCAATAATGAATTCCTCCTGTACAATGGTTAGAGATATAAGATCCATTTCAACAGGAACCCATCTATAAAGTAAAGCCTTCTGAATATTTCATTTGACCCTTTAAAAAAGATAACAGATAATATGTAATAATTGAGAAAATAAAAACTAAAGCAAGGTTTGGCCATAAGAGAAAACAAGCTAGGAGAAAATCACACTTAACTACTCACCTCTGGAAACAATAACCCTGAAGGAGTGAGAGTAAGTGGGTCAAGCTCTTTAAGAGTCGTTTTTTTCTATTCTATTATATACCACTAAGATTTGATGGCAAGACAAATGGATTTGGGCACTGTATCTTCTCAGGTTGCCTTGACTTTCTGAATGTAATAGTTGAGAATATAGTGTCAAGATAATCAAGTTGCAAATAAATTTCCAAGGAGGAACAAGATAAAATTGCGATTTATCCATTCATTCTTGCATTAAATACAATTTGTCTGTTGACTACATGCCAAACAGCACGACAACCACTTAGAATACAAGGAAAGTAAGGCATGGAAACCTTAGAATACCACTTGGAATATAAGAAAAGTAAAGGCTCCATCTACAAGGAGCTCACAGTCTAATAGAATTAGACAGACTGAGTGAATGCAACACATTCGTGTACATGGCTACCACTATGGGTACCATGCAGGAAATAGCAGGAGGCCAGAAAGGCTTTATAGAGAAGGACAATTGTGCTGAGTCATAAGGATGAGTGTGAGCACAGGGGCTAGGTCGGGGAGGGCTCTGCAAAGGTGCTGCTGTGGAGCACAGTTAATGTAGGGAAATGGGCTAGAATGGAGCATCAGTCACCTGGTGCAGATGAGGATTACAGAGATGAGGTTGGACCAGTAGCCTGGAACCACCTCATGAAGAGCCCAAGGGGCAGAGAGGAGGAGGACATAACAAGGACTGTGGAATTTATGCTGGATGCGAAAGGAGCCTAACAGGATGGTAATAAAGTCATTCTGGCTGTGGGAGAAGAGCAGACTAAACTGTTGTGAGCCAGGAGGGAAGAGAGGCTGTTAGGAGATTATTTAATGGGCCAAGTTGCAGGTAGTAGTGATGGGAATGCAGAGGAAAGCCTCTATGGAATGACCAGGTACTGACCGCAGTCACCCTCCTGGATATTTGGCTATGGATAAGGAGAAGGAGGGATATTCCTAAAACAGGTGGAAATTGGAAAAAAAATCCACAAATGGAATCTCTCCTTTGTAGAAGGAGGAACAGGAATACATGCATCTAACTTATAACTCAGATGATTACAAGGCAAACCCTTATTTAAACATACACTAAAAGTCCTCATGTAATATTTGTCCACTTTTTGCTTTGAGTTATGCAAGATGTGCTTTTGAACCACTGCCAGCATCAGATACTTCCTCACTTTCTAACTCACTTGATATACTTGATAGAGAATAGATCTTGAGTCCACCTGAGTTTGCCTCAATATCTGGGTCTTCAGGTCTCTGTATACTTTGAAAGAGTAACAAAGATAGTGCTATCATTTGAATTTGTCCCCAAAATGGTGACTAGCCAGATTTAGGTTTCTTAGCTCTGATCTTTAAGTATATGCTCTCCAGCATTCTAATGGAAAAGGAGCAATCCATTCTGTTCTCAGCTGCTTCCTCTCTAAAATCCTGTAAGACCAAGAAACGCTGAACAGTGGGAACAGGTAAAGATTTTCATCTTCTTTAATGGATAACTTGAGATGTTAATCAAGCAGTCACTAAGATGCACCACTGTGTCAGGTGTTAAAACTGTTTTCCTATTGTAAAATGTTGATCCTCTTGGAAAGGAACTGTGAAGGTGACAGATTATCAGTGGAGCCCACAGAGTGTCTGAAAACAACCATAACTACTGGGCTCTGTCACAGAGAGCCTGATGGTCACCAGGCTTTTGCAGCATCCACTCTGGCCTCCTGTTCTGAAGTGGGAATAGAATTGCCTACTGCCAGAGGGGTTGCAGACTCCTAGCTGCTTTTTCTCCTCCCTGTTCCATTGTTTACACCATACCAGTTCACACAAATCTGACCCAGGCCTCATAATAGCTTGAAATAGCATGAAAAGAGCCCTCCAGGCTACAGGAAGGGCCAGCTACTATCACGGTCATTTGAGACTGTGGCAGGATCCTAGGTAGCTAAGGTATGTGAGTCAAGAGGCCAGGGGCAAGGTGGCTTTGCAACGTCAGCATGGCTGGAGAGGCAGAGAAAGAGGCTGGAGATGACAAAAGATGAGCCTAGGATGTTTACAAATTATTTGCATTAATTCACATATTTATTCAATCATTCATTCAATACATGTTTATTGGGAACCCCTGTACCATCCAGCACTGGCAAATCACTGAGAATACAGTCCTGAACAAGGCAGACTTAATCTTATTAAGGGAGGAGACCACCTCTCATGTTGTCTTATGCCCAATTTCTGCCACCAAAGAAAGAAGAAGTAAAAACTAAAAGGCAGAAATGAAATCCACAAGCAGACAGCCCGGTGCCACACCCTGGGCCTGGCAGTTAAAGATCGACCCCTGACCTAATCGGTTATGTTATCTATAGATTTCAGACATTGTATAGAAAAGCACTGTGAAAATCCCTGTCCTGTTCTGTTCCATTCTAATTACCAGTGCATGCAGCCCCCAGTCACGTACCCTCTGCTTGCTCACATGGATCATGACCCTCTCACGCAGACCCCCTTAAAGTTGTGAGCCCTTAAAAGGGACAGGAATTGCTCACTCGGGGAGCTCAGTTGTTGGAGACGTGAGTCTTGCCGAAGCTCCTAGCCGAATAAAGCTTTTCCTTCTTTAACTCAGCGTCTGAGGAGTTTTGTCTGCGGCTTGTCCTGCTACATTATAATACCTGTCAAGGAGCACTTGGAAAGTGAGAATAAATCATTGCAAGCACATTACTCAGTCTTGGTTAGTCAGGGAAGGTTGCACAGAGGAGAAATCTAAACCTTGAAGGCTGAATGGGAAGGCCTGGTGAGGGTGAGGGGTGGGCTGGGAGAGGCCCACCAGGGCACATGCAGAGGGGTGGGGGAGCAAACTATGCCTGTGTGTCAAGGGCAAGGAGACCAGCCACAGCATCTGACCCTTCTGAAGATGACTTCAAATCCCTAAATATTGGGTTAACTATATGAAATTGTCATTTTTCTAGGTCAAAAATGGTGAAATATCAGCAATTTCACATGATTCAATCGAATATTTCTCTGGATGATACTCCTTAACCATGTCCCCTTCTAAATTAGTTTCTTTCCAGAAAAAAAAAAATGCAATGGCATTGGGAAGCATAAGGGAACAAGTATCAGCTACAATAGGGTGATGATGGGGTAGTGATGGGTGATAATCAAGTACATGCAGAGGCCACATGGAAGAATGCCATGAACCATGGTAAGGCATTTAGGCTTTATGCTTAGGACATCGGGCAGCCTTGTGCAATGACCAGATTGGTATTTTAAGATGCTTACTCAAAACCACCTGGAGAAGGTGGTAAGAGGGCAACAGTGGAACAGCAAAGCAGGAAAAGTTGCTATTATGATCAGAAGAGGGGCCCACAATGTCAGTGTGATAAAGGTAGGCAGGCTTGTGAGATGCTAAAGAGGCAAGACTGACAAGACTGGGAACTGAGTGAGAAAGGAGGCTGGTGAGCCAGCATGAGCCCATGGTGCCCGCCCACCCAGGCAGCCAGGTGGGTGGTGGGCCGTGCATTGGGCTGGATGAACAGGAGGAGGAGCTGACATGGAGGGAGAGAGGATGAGTTCCAAGCATGACTGTTGAAATTATGTATATAGGTTTTCATCTACAATTCCTGGCTCATAACTCCCACATCCACTGTTATTTCTCCCCTAGGCAGTTCATAAAAACTAAAAATATACCCTAATCTCCCCCTGCCTTTCTGTCTTGGAGCTGACCATAAAGAAATTCTCAGCTTTTATACCGGCACCTTGATGTTTTTGTTACTGTAGCCTTACAGTTTAGCCCGAAGTTGGGTAACGTGTTGCCTCCAGCTTTGTTCTTTTTGCTCAGGATTGTTTTGGATATTCAGGCTCTTTTATGGTTCCATCAGCCTTGGGAAAGAATATATGCCCACATCCTCAAAAGCAGTTGCAACAAAAACACAAATTGACAAGTGGGACCTAATCAAACTAAACCATTTCTGCACAGAAAAAGAAATTATCAACAGAGTAAACAGACAACCTACAGAATGGGAGAAAATATTCCCAAACTATGCATCTAACAAAGGTCTAATATCCAGAATCCATAAGGAACTTAAACAATTTGACAAAGAAAAAACAAATAACTCTATTAAAAAGTGGGCAAAAGATATGAACAGGTACTTCTCAAAAGAAGACATACAAGCAGCCAACAGAAATACAAAAAAAGTTTAACATCATTAATCATCAGAGAAATGTAAATCAAAACCATAATGAGATACCATCTCACATTAGTCAGAATGGCTATTATTAAAAAGCCAAAAAACAACAGATGCTGGAGAGGTTGTGAAGAAAAGGGAACACTTATACATTGTTGGTGGTAATGTAAATTAGTTCAGTCACTGTAGAAGCAGTTGGCAGATTTCCCAAAGAACTTAAAACAGAACTGCCATTCAACCCAGCAATCCCATTACTGGGTATATATCCAAAAGAGAATAAACCATTCTACCAAAAAGACACATGCTCTCGTATGTTCATCACAGCACTATTCACAATAGCAAAGTCATGGAACCAACCTAGATGCCCATCAATGGTGAAATGGATAAAGAAAACATGGTACATTTATACCACAGAGTACTATGCAGTCATATAAAGAATAAAATCATGTCCTTTGCAGAAACATGGATGTAGCTGGAGGCCATTATTCTAAGCAAATTAATGTAGGAACGAAAAACCAAACACTGCATGTTCTCACTTGCAAGTGGGAGCTAAACACTGGGTACTCATGGATATAAAGATGGGAACAATAGATACTGGAGACTGACAGAGGAGGAAGGGAAGCAAGGGTTGAAAACTAATTCCAGGGGTACTGTGCTTACTACTTGAGTGACAGGATCAATCATACCCCAAACCTCAGCATCGCACGATACATCCATATAACAAACCTATACATATACCCCCTGAATCTAAAATAAAAGTTGAACTTATGAAAAAGAAAGAAGGAAAGAAATTCTCTGACCTACCTTATCTGACTGTAGGTCATAGACCCTCATTTCAGAAGGAGTCCTGTCCCACACCTGAAGGAAGAAACGCTGCACAGAGAAGCTGGGGAATCTGAACACACAGGCCCTGTGGGGTTTTCCCACTCAGTCTATTTGTGGTAGGTCACAGTTTCTGTCCAATCACATTGCTACATGGTTGTCCATACTTCAGTCACACCTATCCAGTGATGTCCCCACAAAAGGCCCAAGAGGAGAGGGTACAGAGAGCTTCCAGATAGCTGAATATGTGGAGGTTCCTTGAAGATGGTGTGCCCAAGGAGGGCATGAAAGCTTGGTGCCCCTTTCCCATACCTCACCCTATGCATCTCTTCTTCTGTATCCTATGTAACCTCCTTTATAATAAACCAGTAAATATAAGTGTTTTTCTGAATTTCATGAACCAGTCTAACAAATTAATCAAACCCAAGGAGGGGATCATGGGAATCCCAATTTCTAGTTGGTTGGTCAGAAGCCCAGGCAAAACAACCTGGGCTTGCCATTGGCATTGTAAGTGGGGCAGTCTTGTGGGACTGAGCCCTCAACCTGTGGCATCTGATGCTGTCTCCAGGTAGCTGGTGTCGGAAATGAGTTAGAGGACACCCAGCTGGTATCTGCAGCAGAACTGATTGCTTACTTTTTGGTGGGGAGAAACCCTCATGTATTTCATCACAGAAGCCTTCTGTGTTGATTATTGCATTGTGTGAGAACAGAGGAAAAGCAGTTTGTGTTTTTCCACTCATAAGTGTCCAATCAGTTCTAATGATATAAAGAAGGAGGTGGCCGGGCACGATGGTGCACACCCGTAATCCCAGCACTTTGGGAGGCCAAGGCCGTGGATCACCGGAGGTCAGGAGTTTGTGACCAGCCTGACTAACATGGTGAAACTCCATCTCCACTAAATATAAAAAAATGAGCCGGGCATGGTGGCACTGCCTGTAATCCAAGCTACTTGGGAAGCTGAGACAGGAGAATCGCTAGTACCTGGGAGGCAGAGGTTGCAGTGAGCTAAGATAGCGCCATTGCACTACAGCATGGGCAATGAGCGAAACTTCATCTCAAAATAAATAAATAAATAAATAAATAAGAAGAAGGTAAAGGAAACTAATGCGTGCCTACTACCAATCACATGAATGCTTTACATATGGTATTTAAATTCACACACCAGCTGGGGAGGTAGGTACCTTTCCTCCAGTTATATAGCTAAAAAAACAAAACAAAACAAACTGAACAGAAAGTGAGCACTTACCTAAGGTTAGGCAGTTTTTATGTGGGAGAGCTGCAATTTAAATGGGTGTCTCTTTACCAATACCCACGTGCTTATGGCTACCACTGGCTGCCTGATAACCTAATGTAACTTACGGTGTGTGCTGTGCTGATGGCTAAAACAATGGCAGCTGCAGTTGAGATCAAGAAGGATGTGCCAGAAATCTGCCCCGAACACATGCGAGAGGAGGAAGGCCAGACTCAGAGCGGAGCATCTGACCCAGGTGCAAGCTCTCCTCATTCTGCTCACCTCTGCTAACCACCTGTGTCATAGATTCTTCCCAAGTCTAGGAGCATGGGAAGCAGGGAAAGATCAATCAGGAGGTTATAGGACGGCTTTCCAAGGATGAGAATAAATCCTGTAGTGCCTTGCTTACCCTGAAGAGTAGGGCTCTGCAAGGCAGGCCCTCTCAACATCTCTTAATGGAAAAGCAGCATTTTAGCTCAAGACAGCGTCCTAGCAGACAAAGGCTTAAGGCATAGCCTATCTAAAGAGTTACTTAACAAATTCCAAAATAATAGCAAAATGGTCTCCATAAAACTAAATGACTTCCAGGGAAGAAAGCGCATATTCCACTCTAGTACTTGTTGCCTTAATTAGGAACAGATTCTGATGACTGGGATTTATTTTCCTAAGCACACATCCACAAAAGCCAGAAACATCTTGTCATGCTGCAGCATCCCTGACATTTCTCAAAGATGAATTCCTAATTGGGTTTTAAAAAAAGCAACCAGAAATTTTCATGCTGGTTTTGATTCAGGATTCAAAACAGAACCTAAGACGTGCATTTCTATATTATTCCAAACCATGTATAAACCGCCTTAAAATCCTTAAGACCCCCCTCAAACACTAAAGTTTAAAAAAGGGAAAAACAGACTAAGGAATGAATTCTGAATTTAATATAGTAAAGAAGATTCTTCTCTTATGGAACATGAAAACTCTCCTGTGATCTCTCCAAGACACTTTTAAACATCTTAATCTACTTACTTTTTAAAAGACAAGATGAGGGCTGGCACCTGCTCTTTCACTGATGGGGTTCAAAAGGCTTTTTTGTGTCTTTCTTTGTTAATTTATTAGAGAAACTGGCCAGCCTTTTTCATCGATTTAACTAAATTCTGTTATAATAAAGAATCTAGATGTGCTACGGAGTCTGAAATACAGAAATTATTATCCTTACCTGCACAGTTTATTCTTAAGTGTTTCCATGTACTTCATAGTATTTTCCTTCACACTTGTTTCTGGGGGAAAAAAAGGAAATCCAAAGTTAATGCAACTGCAGTCACAATTGAATAAAAACCATTCAACTAAAAGCTCAAAGCCAAAGGATTGAGGTCAAGCCACTAGTAATCGTAACATTCTATGTTTGGAAAACACTCAAATCCACTGGAGTGGCTGCCTGAAGTCATGAGTTGGGGAGGATTCCGGGGCTCTGAGTGTCTCTGCAGGAGAAAGTCAGAGGCTGGAGCAATAGCGCTGAGCCAGCCTTGCTGTAGTCTTTAAAAAGCAGCTCACTGATAGTCTATCACTGGATGACATGTGCTCTATCTCTTACCTTTCCCAACTGATAGCCATTGGCTCGGTTGTCCAATACAGGGAAAGAGAACCTGACAGTGTAATGATTCCCATCCTACAGATGAACCAGAAGAGCCACACTAGGGGTAGAGGAGGATTGTGGAACCTTTCATTGAGAAATAAACATAAACATGGGATTCTGCCAGTAACTAGAAATCAACTGCTCAACATCCAATGAGTGATGAGATCAGCTACTCTTTGAGATAAACTCAGCGCTTCCTAATTACCAAATGTTGAAGGAATGAATGATTGCTATGGTTCAGCAGATCAAAGAGGCACTTTACGGATAAAAGAGATTTGATATACTTTGAACAAGTTCTCCCCTTTTGCTCATCCGAGGAATGAAGGTGCCTTCCTCTCAAGATAATAACTAACAGACGTGCACACCAAGTGCCTGGAAGAACACCTGCAGCCAAGGGGTTTCTAGCAAATGGTGGCTGGAATTATCAATGGTGCTGCCATGTCTATTACTAGTATTATTATTGTTATTGTGGGTTTTATCATTGTTTTTATTACAACCTTTATTCTGAAGGGTTATTTATGCTGAAGGGCTCATGTACTCTAAAGTTGGAGAATGTGGAAACACAGAAGCCAGGCTGCCCAGATTCATGCTACTGGAGTGTCTGGGGATTCTTAGACTTCTATTTCAGTCAACGTGTATGTGTAAGGTGAGGGACTGTGGAACTGGAAAAAGTACCCTGCCATTCCTCATAAAGAAACTAAATATTTAGATGGAAATTAAAACAATTAAACATTCTGGTTCATTAGTCCATAAAAGATAAAAAGAGACATTTACACAATGAAAACAACTGTTTAAGTTGGTATCTTTTTTTATTGACTTATGCTGGTCTAACACACAAACTTAGTTGTGCTAGCTGGAGCAATTATTGCAAATTCCAAATGCCCAAACCAGAAACGCCCTCTCTGTTTCACATCCCATACATATTTATGTGCCACACACTGTTCTAGGCATGTGAGATAGCTCAGTGGACAGAAGAGGTAAAGATTCCTGCTTCTGTAGTGCTTCCATTCTGGCAGCAAGGGATGCTAAAGAATAAACATAAAAATTCCATAAAACATTAGAAGGTGGTAATGACAATAAGGATTTAAGGGGAAAAAAAAAGACAGCAAGTGAAAAGGGGCTGTAGAGTGGTCAGGGAAGGCATCACTGGGGAAATGACACTCCATAAAAGTTTGCGGAGGGAGGGAAGAGGGCATCAACAGGCATCTTGTGAATGGAGTAGGCAGTCTGAAGGCCCCAGGGCAGAAGCACATCTGCATGCTCTAGCAAGTGTGGCCGGAGCCAAATGTTCCATAGGGAGAAAAGATGAAGGCAGAGAAACAACCCAGGTCCAATCAAGCGGGCCACTGTGGTAGACTATAGTCTCAAAATGGCCACAGCAATATTTCTGGTACCACATACTCTTCCAGAACCTTGCCACTCCCTATCAAGAGGTAAAGACTATTTCCCTCTTCTTGAATGTGGACAGGCTGTGACTGCTCCAACCCACTGAGTATGATGGAAGGGATTCTATAACTCTTCTGAGGCTAGAGTCCAGTTTCTGCGTGGCTCTCTGTCCTGGGAACCCAGCCACCATTTTGTGAGGAAGCCCAAGCCACATGGAGAGGCCCTGTGTAGGTGTTTAAGCTGAAAACCTGGGTGATGGTCTTAGAATACATCCAGCACCAACCTCCAGATACCTGAGTGAATGAGCTTTCAGGTGGTTAGTGCCTCTGAGTCTGAGGGACCCAGACATCGCAGGATGGAGACAAGTCCCCCCCACTATACCCTGTCTGAATTCCTGACTCACAGAATTTTGCACATAATTAATGGTGATGTTAAGTCATTAAGTTTGGGGATGTTTTGTTGCACAGCTGTAGTAACTAGAAAGCCACTATCAGGATTTTGAGTGTTCTGAGTGGAATGGAAAAACACTGTAGAAGAAAAAAATGAGATTGACCTACAGCAACTATGTTGAGAATACACCATAAGGGAGGATGGGGTGGAAGCAGAAAGACATGGAGGAGGTTAGTGCAATCGTCCAGGAAAAGATGATGGAGATGTGGAGGAGGAAAAGTAGAATATTTTTTCTCACCCATCACCAGGGTCATGGCTGACACCCCTATAACAAAAGACAGGTTAACAAGAGAAAGGCATGACAAATTTATGTGACCAAAGTTTTATGTGATATAGGAGCCTTCAGAGATGAAGACCCCAAGACCCAGAGAAAACTGTCTATTTTTGTGCTTAGGTTCAATGAAGCATATGAAAAATGGACAGCTGTGTAGAAACGTGATTGGACAAAAACATGATCTAATGGTGATAAACTGGAGCTCAGCATGGCTGTTTGTTCAGAATCTCCTTGGCCTCTGTGTAGCATTCCTTCCCTCCACATTGGGGGGCAGGGCAACTGTCACATAAGGGTCTTATGCTCACCTTTCAGGGAAGGTAAGCAAGAGAGTCCTTTAAGATCAGCTCACACAGAAAGACAGCAGATGGTCAGAGTACCCTTTCTGCTTCTGCTGTTTTCTCAGTTTCCAAGGTGCTGTACTTTGTAGTATCATATTCTATGTCCCAATAGGGACTTAAACTAGTGCATTAGCAGGAGTTAGTGATAAGTGGGCAGATTTTAGATATATTTTAAAGGTAGAGACAATAGCTTTCCTGGTGGGTCAAATGCCAGGTGTAAGAAAAAGAAAAGTTGGCTGGGTGCGGTAGCTCACACCTGTAATCCCAGCACTTTGGGAGGCTGAGGTGGGCGGATCACCTGAGGTCTGGAGTTCAAGACCAGCCTGGCCAACATGGTGAAACCCCGTCTCTACTAAAAATAGAAAAATTGGCTGGGCGTGGTGGTGGGTGCCTGTAATCCCACCTAGTTGGGAGGCTGAGACAGAAGAATCCCTTGAACGTGGGAGGCGGAGGTTGCAGTGAGCCGAGATCGTGCCACTGCACTCCAGCCTGGGCAACAAAAAGCAAAACTCTGTTTCCAAAAAAAAAAAAAAAAAAGTCAAGAATGACTACAGATTTTTACCCTAAGCCACCAGAAAAAAAACAGAAATTGCCATCAACTGAGATGGGAAGAATGAGAAGTGAAATGGGTTTGGGGAGACAAGAATTTGGCTTTGGATTTGTTAAATTTCAGAAGTTTTTAGAAATTCAGTGGAGATGTCAAGTGTGAGGTTGGATATCTGAGTCTGGAGTTTGGGAAAGTTCTGGAACAGAGACATTTGGGATTGGCGTTTGAAGCAATGAGACTGGACAGTATCACTAAGGAAGTGGGAGTAACTTAAGAAGCCCTTGCTGATCGTACGCAACGCGCCATTTATATTGTGATAGCACCTTCTATCCGATGGACAAAAATGGACACACCACCTGAAGAAAAGAAAGCCATATTCTTATGTTTAAAAAGAATCTAGATGTCTATCAAGTTAATCACTTTGTTAAGAAACTGAATGCTAAGTATTTGCCTCATCTCAGTGTCTGAAGCACCAGTTGGTGACACGCTGGACCTGCACAAGAACTTCCAGGCAAAGCCATGGGCTTTTCTTCTTGCCTGGAGGCTGCCATCTAAGGAGAATGCTATGTTGAACTATTACTTTCTTTGGACCCAACTTATCTCCCAGCCAGACAGCCTAAAAGTACCTTGCATGTATTCACTAAGTTGACTCACAACCTTCAAGACAGGCCAAGACTGTAGACAGGGAGTTTAGATTTTAAACTTCCGAATCAATACAGCCACAGACACGCTGACGGAGAATAGAGCTCACCTTTTCCTCTCTTCTTACTCCCCTCCTCTTCCTTTCTTCCCTACCATTTTAGGTCCAGTAGAGCAGGGACCTATGAGAATGGCAATGGTAGTAAGGCAAGGTTCCAAGAAGCAAAGAGGGCGCTCAAAGAAATGCTGAATACAAAATGAAATGCTACGAAACAAACAAGACCAGAGGACTGCAGACCCCCTTCCTGATCAGGAAGAAGCAGGAACACATTCACTGTTTCTGTTTATTAAGGGAATCTGATATTCAGGTTCAGGCCATGATAACAGAGTGGAATTCATACAATTAGTTTGATGAATCCAATTAAACAAAAACTTGGATTAACAGATTGATAATTAAATGCCATAAATCAGTGAAAACAGTAGAGTGCATGAAACACACATCATGCTACAGGAGTTCAATCTGGGTCCTCCTTCATGCAAGACCATATACTTGGCACTAATTAAATAGAAAAAGGACACGGCTTCCAGGGACACAGAGATAGCTGTGGGACCAGCCTCTTTAACACTGATTTCTCACTGGAGTGCACAGCAACATTTTCCATAAATATTCATCATAACCAATAATCCAAAAATATCCCTATGAGTCTGATGGGAAAAAAAATAACCAAGCTACCCAGCAACAGCTTTTTCAGTGTAAACACGGAAGTTGGAAGGTAGAAGAATGTCAACACGGAAGGTAGGAGAATGTTAAGTGGGAGGAAGTCCAACGAGGTTTCAATGAATTGTATCCCTTGCATAAGGGGACAGCAGTATTTGACATGAAAATAGCATGGGAAATGAGTAACACCCAGGCAGACTTGCTATCAGATTGAATGGACCAGTGATTTGAAGAAACTCCAGCCCCACCACCCTCAATTAATAAGGAAGGCATCCTCAGACGGGATCAGTACGATACGATCTCACCTTTGAAAATGGAAGCCAAAGGGACCTCCCCAGTTTAGCATTAATGGCAAAGTTTGTCAAACATTAGCCACGTTATTGGAATTTTCTAAATTAACATTAAGTACCAAGTGAGACCTGGCCTACATTTATGAAAATAAGTCATCAGATTTCAAAGATCAATATTCAAGAATCAATTTAGATAAAATTAACTCCCACTTAGTAAAATCTTTCAGAAGGAAGATGTGAAAGACAAAGGAGAAATTTTAGAACTCTGAGAAATTTTCAAATATCTAAGGTATTATGCTGTCTTCGAGTGAATGAAAGAACCTTTGTTCGGATAATTAAATCATGCATGAGGATGAAGAGGTAACATAATCCTGAAAAGACCCAGGAAAGTCAGCAATACAGGAAAATGGACTTGCAGCTGGAATGTCTTGGCAGGTAGGATGGCATAAGATTGTGTAAGTCCTTGAAAGATGGTAGATTCTTTCCATGAAGTCCTACGTGAGTGAAATTTCACACTGAAGGGCAAAATGGAAATATCAACCATGAACCCCTAAAACCTAGAGAGTTTTGTCTGCTCATACGCAAATGATATTGACTGTCACATTGGAGACCCACTGTGGGGACACGCGTGATATCAATTTAGCTACCATTTTACTGAGCACTTTCTTTTGCAAGACCTGTTTTAAACACCTTATTCTAAACATGAACTAAATAATAGTATCAGTGAAGCAGCTCTACCATTATCACCATTTTACAGTTGGTTAAATGGAGCAGCAGTAAGGTTCAAAGTCACACTGCCAGTAAGGGATAGTTCCAGAGCTCATTGTTACAAAACACATGACTTCAACTTCATATAACATGACAGCAGTTAGTGCACATGAGATGTGAAATCTCAGCACCAACAAAATGAAGCAGGTGTTCAAAGACACTAAATTCAGGGGAGGCCAAAGGCTGTGCTGTAAAAAGTCAGAGTTACAAAGAGTACTGACCATTGCAAAGACCAGCCATCAATAAATGAAAATCTCATTGTTTGTAAAATGTAGGGAAGAACATTACTAGTATATCAGCATAAAATAAATCTACATTGTGTAAAATAAGTTTATATATATATATACATATATATATATATATATATATAAACATATATATATGAGAGACAATAGGCCAAGGTGATTTCAAAGTAGGTTGCAATGAGAAAATGATTAACAACTTTCTAAAGCATATATCTACATTGGCTCTTTCTCCCCAGTGAGAGGTTAATTGTGTGATTTTACTAAAAGATTTTGATTTGCATGTATAAATTTATTTATTTGCAGCATTTCAAATATAGCATTCTGCTATCACCTATCTGTGGTAGTTCTAGTTTAGCTAGAACTCTCAAGAGAGGATTTCTGAGTTCAACAGAGTTCAGTCCTTCCCAGGCTTTTGACTACTCAATATAAATTCTCTAGATCCAGAGCCAAATAAATGCATCATTACCAAACTAGCAAGGGATTCATTTCTCATTGTCAGGGCATCGTTCAGTATGTTGTTGTTAATTCTCTGTCTCTTTTTCTCTGATGTTGATAAGATGTTTACAGAGAGAAGGAAAATTAACAGATATGAGTCCTACTGATTTAATAAGTGGTAACAGGGAAAGGGTTTCTCTTTGGAGTTATACCTGACTGTCATTCATACATTCATCTAATGTTTTTTCTTTTTCTTTCTTTTCTTTTCTTTTTTTTTTTTTTTTTTTTTTTGAGACATTGAGACAAGGTCTTGCTCTGTCACCCAGGCTAAAGTGCAGTGGCGTGATTATAGCTCACTACAGCCTTGAACTCCTGGGCTCAAGTGATCTTCCCACCTCAATCTCTTGAACAGCTGAGACTTGAATAGCTGAGTCAGGTGTGAGCCACTGTGCCCAGCTAATTTTTTTTTTAATTTTTTTGTAGAGATGAGGGTTCACTTTGTTGCCCAGGCTGATCTCGAACTCCTGGCCTCAAGCAGTCCTCTCACTTCCACTTCCCAAAGTACTGAGATTACAGGTGTGAGCCACCACACCCTGCCTCTAATGTTCCTTAAATGCCTAACACATGCCAGATTCCATGTTAGGCACTGGGGCCACAGAGGTGAATATCACGCTGCCCGTGGGCTTAAGAAAATCAGGCTTGGTAACAGAAAGAGTCACATCAATAGATGACTAATAAAAGCAACAAGTTAGATTCAATGATAAAAGCAGCAGTCATTCTCAGAGCGTCATGGAGGGAGATTTGGCCCAGCTTGAGGGGGTTTAAACATGACTCCCTGAGGAAGTGACTGAGTTAGAGATCTTAAAGGATTTTCCATGCTAGCTGATGCAGGAGGAGGCATGGATAATCCAAAACAGCAGTTGCACATAAAATAAGATTTGTGTTTTAGAATAGCAGGCATTTCATGTCATATCATTTTACCTTCCCAATTATTTCCAAATCATTTCCCTCCAAGCTTACATTATGATCACTAGATGGACTACATGATCCCACACCAAAGGAAGACAGAGTAGCTACAGGAAATCAGCCTGTCCAAAAGCACAGGCTCTGAGCTTCCATCACTGCCCTAATAGCCACATTTGAATGTGGAAGTAAGATTAACTCATTCTTCCAGCTTTTCACCTTTGAGTAACGCGAGTGAGAATGCTGAGTTATAGTAAGTAACTTCATGCTGGCAAAGGTACCCAAAGAACAGAGAGTGAGAAAGTGTTTTCAGAACTGGGACATCATCCTGTGACTCAGTTGTCCATGAAAAAAGTAAAATCAATTATTCTGAACTATGTTGATGCCTCCACTTCCACTGTTTTGTCCTGTGGGGTGGTGTGTGGCTGTTGCTTCCCAGTGAGTCACCACCCTCAGAGAGTTCTGCCCCATTGCCCTTGAACCCTGGAGCACATCTCAAAGACCTGTCTGTCTTGATACTTACATAGGTAGACACAGCTCCTTGCTTAGACAGGAAGGGAGAGTGGGCAGGATGAAGGAAAGGAGAAATGAGTAAGGAAGCTCCACCAGGTTTAAAAATGTTTGCTATGTGGCGAGTGCTTATAGTAGATAAAGCCCAGGTACCGATTTTACCTGCTGTGCCTGTCACTAGTTAATTGGGTATCATCTAATATGGTAATTCTCACTTTCCCAGTTCAGACCTGCTCCTACATGCAATCTCCTGACACCCTTGAAGCACACAGTCTAATAAATCCGCACAAGTCAATGACAAAAGAAAAACCAAATGCTTGCGGTATGGAAAGCAGGTCAGTAAAAAGCTAACACTATCAGTTCCAAGCAGGTTCACTTCACAGCCTCCCACTCACGTGCCTTTGTCAAATGCTTTTTCTAAATGGAAAGACAGGCTAACTTTTCTCAGCAATCCCTGCTGACAGCAGCAGGCATATTTGGGTTTGCTTTCTTGCTTTCTGGCGCATATAACTGAAAGAGTTGTGACCTGGAGATTAATTTACAGTATTTTTTAAATTGCTTAGAATGCCTATTTACTGTCTTACCTAGTAGTATGCAACTGAGAATATGCAGTCTCATTCTTTGATTCTTTCTCCTGTTATTTCCCTGAAATATGGGCATCACACACACACACACACACACACACACACACACACACACACACAGAATTTTTTTTCATTCTTTTTTATAGACAGAAGAAGGAAGAAAATTTGGGACTTTGTTTTAAAAGTGGAATACTATCTTCTTAAACAACTTGTGTTTAAAACAAGCCCCAATCCACACTTGATCTTCTTAAGCTAGGAAAAGTGAGCTCACACTGAGTGCTGGCAGGATGCTCCATGTGCATCATTATTTTGTTTAATTCTCACAATAACTCTCTAAATCCCTTTTGAGGATAAGGAGACTGGGGCTGGGAGAAGTTATTTCAAGGAGTAAATAAAAAATTCAGACCCACTTGGGTTTTATGCCAAAGGCTCTGTTTTTACAAATACACAATATTGTTGCCCAGTTGTGATGAAACATAATTTATGAATTTCACTGAGGGAATTTCGCAAAAGGAAAGAATTTACTTTTCCCTCTAAAGCAGAGGCTTTTCATATGCAACTGTTAAAAGACACACGAGCTTGTGGGTCTGATGGGTGGTCTGAGCTGTTGCTGTTGGGAGAGCTGCTGGGACACTAGCAGGAAGACGTAGTTTGTGCTCAGTGGCCAAGGATGGCGCCCCCGTAAGGCAGCCAGATCCGGACTACGCAGTGTTTTCCAGGCTGGAGGTGCCCTCCTCAACTGTCTTACAAAGTTCCCAAGCAGCCAGCCCAAATACTGCCTGCTCCTTATGCCAAATGGATTTGGCAGGAAAAAGGCCAAATTGGCCAAGCAGAGGCACAAAGTGAGGTCAGAACAACTTCCCATTTGAGGAAAGCCTTTTGTTGGCTATAAAGTTCCATTCATCACTCCAGGCCTTACTCCCACCTCAAAACACACACATGCTGTCCACATCCAGGCACCGGCCCTCACCCCCAAGTGGCCTCACTATGCCTGACTGGGCACCTTTTGCTTATAAACATAGTCTCATTAGAGGCCAAAGATGCTAAGACAACGTGCCCCGGCTAGTAAGACACACACAGAGGTCTCCTCTCCTTTAATATGCAGGTGATAGATACATGGGTGATGAACAAGTATGTGTAAAAAATTAACACAGGAAGGCCGGGCACGGTGGCTCACGCCTGTAATCCCAGCACTTTGTGAGGCCGAGGCAGGTGGAACACGAGGTCAGAAGATCGAGACCATCATGGCTAACATGGTGAAACCCCGTCTCTACTAAAAATACAAAAATTAGCTGGGCGTGGTGGCACGCACCTGTAATGCCAGCTACTCAGAAGGCTGAGGCAGGAGAATCGCTTGAACCCAGGAGGCGGAGGTTGCAGTGAGCCGAGATCGCACCACTGCACTCCAGCCTGGGCAACAGAGTTGAGACTCTGTCTCAAAAAAAAAAAAAAAAAAAAAAAAATTAACACAGGAAAAATACAAATGATTGAATATCTGCTTCAATCTAGAATAGCCCTTGGACCTGCCCAAGAGGGGCCCCTGCCCTGGGCATCATGATAGAGAACCCTCACTTCCAGATTCCTCCAGAATGCCCCTCTGCATGGTGAGGCAGTCACATGGCCAAAAGATTTGCCCCTTCAATTCTGGTTTGTGTTCTTGGTACCCAGAACACGGGAATTTCCTGCCCAAATGTCCCTGGGAGCACTTCTTTTTTTTTTAATTATACTTTAAGTTCTAGGGTACATGTGCAGAACATGCAGTTTTGTTACATAGATATACACGTGCCACGGTGTTTTGCTGCACCCAACAACCGGTCACCTACATCAGATATTTCTCCAAAAGCTATCCCTTCCCGAGCCCCCCACCACCCGACAGGCCCCGGTGTGTGATGTTCCCCTCCCTATGTCCATGTGTTCCCATTATTCAGCTCCCACTTATGAGTGAGAACATGTGGTGTTTGGTTTTCTGTTCTTGTGATAGTTTGCGGAGAATGGTGGTTTCGAGCTTCATCCATCTCCCTGCAAAGGACATGAACTTATCCTTTTTTATGGCTGCATAGTATTCCATGGTGTATATGTGCCACATTTTCTTTATCCAGTCTATTATTAATGGACATTTGGGTTGGTTCCAAGTCTTTGCTATTGTGAATAGTGCCACAATAAACATAAGTGTGCATGTGTCTTTATCATAGAATGATTATAGTACAATGATCCTTTGGGTATATGGGATTGCTGGGTCAAATGGTATTTCTAGTTCTAGATCCTTGAGGAATCGCTACACTGTCTTCCACAATGGTTGAATTAATTTACACTCCCACCAACAGTGTAAAAGCATCCCTATTTCCCCACTCCCTCTCCAGCATCTGTTGTTTCCTGACTTTTTAATGATCGCAATTCTAACTGGCATGAGATGGTATCTCATTGTGGTTTTGATTTGCATTTTTCTAGTGACCAGTGATGATGAGCATTTTTTTATACGTCTGTTTGTTACATAAATGTCTTCTTTTGAGAAGTGTCTGTTCATATCCTTTGCCCACTTTTTGATGGGGCTATTTGTTTTTTACTGGTAAATTTGTTTAAGTTCTTTGTAGATTCTGAATATTAGCCCTTTGTCAGATGGATAGATTGCAAAAATTTTCCCCCATTCTGTAGGTTGCCTGTTCATGCTGATGATAATTTCTTTTGCTGTGCAGAAGCTCTTTAGTTTAATTAGATCCCATTTGTCAATTTTGGCTTTTGTTGCCATTGCTTTTGGTGTTTTAGACATGAAGTCTTTGCCCACGCCTATGTCCTGAATGGTATTGCCCAGGTTTTCTTCTAGGATTTTTATGGTCCTAGGTCTTACGTTTAAGTCTCTGATCCATCTTGAGTTGATTTCTGTACAAGGTGTAAGGAAGGGGTCCAGTTTCAGTTTTCTGAATATGGCTGGTTAGTTTTCCCAACACCATTTGTTAAATAGGGAATCTTTTCCCCATTGCTTGTTTGTGTCAGGTTTGTCAAAGATCAGATGGTTGTAGATGGGTGGTGTTATTTCTGAGGCCCCTGTTCTGCTCCATTGGTCTATATATCTGTTTTGGTACCAGTACCATGCTGTTTTGGTTACTGTAAGCTTGTAGTATAGTTTGAAGTCAAGTAGCGTGATGCTTCCAGCTTCATTCTTCTTGCCCAGGATTGTCTTGGCTATGTGGGCTCTTTCTTTGGTTCTGTATGAACTTTAAAATAGTTTTTTCCAATTCTGTGAAGAAAGTCAGTGGTAGCTTGATGGGGATAGCATTGAATCTATAAATTACTTTGGGCAGTATGGTGACTTTGATGATATTGCTTCTTCCTATCCATGAGCATGGAATGTTTTTCCATTTGTTTGGTCCTCTCTTATTTCCTTGAGCAGTGGTTTGTAGTTTTCCTTGAAGAGGTCCTTCACAACCCTTGTAAGTTGTATTCCTAGGTATTTTATTCTCTTTGTAGCAATTATGAAAGGGAGTTCATTCAGGATTTGGGTCTCTGTTTGTCTGTTATTGGTGTATGGGAATGCTTGTGATTTTTGCACATTGATAACAGCAACTTTGCTGAAGTTGCTTTTCAGCTTAAGAAGATTTTGGGCTCAGACTACGGAGTTTTTTTAATATACAATCATGTCATCTGCAAACAGAGACAATTTGACTTCCTCTCTTCCTACTTGAATACATTTTATTTCTTTCTCTTGCCTGATTGCCCTGGCCAGAACTTCCAATACTATGTTGAATAGGAGTGGTGAGAGAGGGCATCCTTGTCTTGTGTTGGTTTTCAAAGGGAATGCTTTCAGTTTTTGCCCATTCAGTATAATATTGGCTGTGGGTTTGTCATAAAAAGCTCTTATTATTTTGAGATACATTCCATCGATACCTAGTTTATTGAGAGTTTTTAGCATGAAGGGGTGTTGAATTTTGTCGAAGGCCTTTTCTGCACCTATTGAGATAATAATGTGTTTTTTGTCATTGGTTCTGATTATGTGATGGATTATGTTTATTGATTTGCATATGTTGAAACAGCCTTGCAACCCAGGGATGAAGCTGACTTGATTGTGGTGGATAAGCTTTTTGATGTGCTGCTGGATTCGGTTTGCCAGTATTTTATTGAGGATTTTCACATCTATGTTCATCAGAAATATTGGCCTGAAATTTTCTTTTTTTGTGGTGTCTCTGCCAGGTTTTGGTATCAGGATGATGCTGGCCTCATAAAATGAGTTAGGGAGGATTCCCTCTTTTTCTCTTGTTTGGAATCATTTCAGAAGGAATGGTACCAGCTCCTCTTTGTACCTCTGGTAGAATTCGGCTGTGAATCCATCTGGTCCTGGACTTTTTTTGGTTGGTAGGCTATTAATTGCTGCCTCAATTTCATAACTTGTTATTAGTTTATTCAGGGATTCCACTCCTTCCTGGTTTAGACGGGAGGGTATACGTGTCCAAGAATTTATCCATTTCTTCCAGATTTTCTAGTTCATTTGCATAGAGGTGTTTATAGTATTCTCTGATGGTAGTTTGTATTTCTGTGGGATAGGTGGTGATATCCCCTTTATCATTTTTTATTGCGTCTCTTTGATTCTTCTCTCTATTCTTCTTTATTAGTCTGGCTAGTGGTCTATCTGTCTTGTTGATCTTTTCAAAAAACCAGCTCCTGGATTCATTGATTTTTTGAAAGGTTTTTCTTGTCTCTATCTCCTTCAGTTCTGCTCTCATCTTAGTTATTTCTTGTCTTCGGCTAGATTTTGAATTTGTTTCCTCTTGCTTCTCTAGTTCTTTTAATTTTGATGCTAGGGTGTCAATTTTAGATCTCTCCTGCTTTCTCCTGTGGACATTTAGTGCTATAAATTTCCCTCTACACACTGTTTTAAATGTGTCCCAGAGATTCTGCTTTGTTGTGTCTTTGTTCTCATTGGTTTCAAAGAACATCTTTATTTCTGCCTTCATTTCATTATGTACCCAGGAGTCATTCAGGAGCAGGCTGTTCAGTTTCCATGTAGTTGTGAGGTTTTGAGTGAGTTCCTTAATCTTGAGTTCTAATTTGATTGCACTGTGGTCTGAGAGACTATTTGTTATGATTTCCATTCTTTTGCATTTGCTGAGGAGTGTTTAACTTCCAATTATGTGGTCAATTTTAGAATAAGTGTGATGAGGTGCTGAGAAGAATGTATTTGGTATTTATGTGATGGATTAAGTTTGTGATGGGGTGGAGAGCTCTGTAGATGTCTATTAGGTCCGCTTAGTCCAGAGCTGAGTTCAAGTCCTGAATATCCTTGTTAATTTTCTGTCTCGTTGATCTTTCTAATATTGACAGTGGGGTGTTAAAATCTCCCACTATTATTGTGTGGGAGTCTAAGCCGCTTTGTAGGTCTCTAAGAACTTGCTTTTTGAATCTGGGTGCTCCTGTATTGGGTGCAGATATATTTAGGAGAGTTAGCTCTTCTTGCTGCATTGATCCCTTTACCATTATGTAATGCCCTTCTTTGTCTCTTTTGATCTTTGTTGGTTTAAAGTCTATTTTATCAGAGATTAGGATTGTAACTTCCGCTTCTTAAACTCAAGCAAGCCTCTTTGCCAGCTTAGGCTTCTGAGTGTGCACAGTATGGCCAGTCTGTGCTTTCCTAGGCCTGAGGGTGCAGGGGGCTTGCTGCGTTAAGGGTATGTGGAAGGAAAGTGAGTGGAAAGGGACTGTGGTGGGTGGGCTTCCCCAGGAAGCTGACCCTGAGGTAGAGTTTAACACCCTGGATGCTTATTAGGGAGTCTCTTCTGCTTACCACCTGTGAAAGTGCAGAGAAGAGGCAGGATTGCACGGAGCTGCAAAGCATATCTGACAAATGCCCCAGCCAACCCACAGGGAGCTCTGAAGCCAAGGAGCCCTTCTTCCGAGTTAGCACAAGGGACAAGGCTTTTATGCCTCTGCATTGATTGGATACCAGATCCAGATGCAACTTTGGACAAGGCCATTTTCTTTAGCCCCCACAAACCTGAAAGGCTGACAGCTGGGAGTAGCTGCAGAAACCTGACCCTTCCTTCCAGAAGAAGGATCTGGGCAGTGCATCCAAGCCCCCACCACAGAGCAGGTAGACAAAACTCAGACACACATGCTGGAGTGTCTGTGCACAAATCTGCAAGACAGTCATGGTGAGGGAAAACAGAGATGTGCAGAAAAATAGAGCTGGAGGCTGGGTTCAGTGGACCAGTGCTCTGGCACCTCTGCTTTCTGATATAGAGTCCAAGGAATTCAAGCATTCTAAACTCATACCTGGTCTCCTAATCATTAATCATTAAGAAGTCATATTTGTGGCTGGGTGTGGTGGTTCATGCCTATAATCCCAGGACTTTGGGAGGCCGAAGCAGGTGGATTACCTGAGGTCAGGAGTTCAACACCAGCCTGGTCAACATGCTGAAACCCCATCTCTACTAAAAATACAAAAATTATCCAGCTGTAGTGGCACATGTCCATAGTCCCAGCTACTCAGGAAGCTGAGGTAGGAGAATAGCTTGAACCCAGGACGTGGAGGTTGCAGTGAGCCAAGATTGCATCACTGCATTCCAGCTTCTGTGACACAGCGAGACCCTGTCTCAAAAAAAAAAAAAAAAAGTCATATTGTCAAGTCATGTTCTTCGTCAACAATCATGTTCTTTTTCATTTTCAGTATTTTATGATGCTTTGACATCTTGGGGCCTTGCTGACTCTAGAGGGACTGCTCCTCCCAGGGTCATTCCTAGAAAGAGTAAACAACTAACCTGTGAGCACACCCTTGCTAGGATAACCAAGAAATCCAGAACCCACACCCCCAACCACCTCCTGTACTAGGGTCTCACATGCTGGGCTACTATCCTTTGCCCCTGGCATCAGATAACTAGGGACACCCCCTATACTCCAGAGTCCACGGAAGTTATTCAAACTAGCTAATCCCAAGCCTGGTTGTCTTGCCTTTCCCATTCCTTCTCACAGAAACCGCAATACTCTTGCCCACATCTTCCCCCTCACTCTCTCTACCTCCTCACCAATGCTGGTGCATCGCCATGTGGCCTGGCATAGCATGGCATGTCCCAGCCCTTGGGAACTGTGAGTAACAAACTCTTTTCAATGGCAGCTGTCTCCTGATCTGTTGGCCTCATCATGCCTGAATAATACATTTTAAAGCATCAAGGTAGGACAATAGAACATGCTATATTTAGCCATTTACTAGACTGATTTATCTCTGAAAATATGCAGATATATAGTATAGGGGCCTTGGGCTGTATCACGGCCCCAGCCCCACATGTATTAGTGGTGAGGCTGCTTTTACCGATATCCACAGTTAATTCTAAAATGGACAAAGGAAGAGAAAAAGGCAAGCCTTCTTAGCTACGAGCATGACATTATGAAGGGGCTGAATTTCAACCTTTTCAAACTAGTCCACAGGGAACATAATCCTTGATCTCCCACAAACCCCAGCAGTCTGTGTTATAAGGCTCCCAGACAGCAATTTTCCTGGTAGAAGCAGGAAGGAGGCAATGCCCGGTGCTCAGCACAAGGACCTATGGGCGGCTGGGAGTGTCCCTGCTGGTACAACTCAGAGTATTCAACACAGTTTCCTGAAGCTAAAATGTGGCGCCTCTGGCCATGGCGTTTTCTTTTTTTTCTTTTTTATTTATTTTACTTTATTTTATTTTTGAGACAGTCTCACTCTGTTGCCCAGGCTGGAGTGCAGTGGTGCAATCTCGGCTCGCTGCAACCTCTGCCTCCCAGGTCCAAGCAATTCTCCTGCATGGGCCTTCTGAGTAGCTGGGACTACAGGCATGTGACACCACGCCAGGCTAATTTTTGTATTTTTAGTAGAGACGGGGTTTCACCATATTAGCCACGGTGGTCTCAAACTCTTGACCTCAAGTAAATCTGCCCGCCTTGGCCTCCCAAAGTGCTGGGATTACAGGCGGGAGCCACTGCCCCTGGCCTGGCCATGCCATTTTCTGTTTCCATGCAGCACAGCTGGGAAATAGAGAAGGTTGAATGCACAGCTCTGATGGAAACTATGACTGCTGTCTTCTACAGGGCCACCCAGCAGGTTCCCTCTTAGGGGAGGAGCCTACACCTCCCCTGCACCTTTTTATACTTGTCCTTCTTCCTGGAAGTAGATCCCAGAAAAACCTGCTTGATACCTGCACTGGCTTTCCCTGGATCTTGAATAAAATCCAAATCCTTCCCAAAACCTTCAGGTGGGGCATGGTCAGCCTTGCTTGTTTTTTCCCTCTTTCCCTCATCCCCTGGTTACCTCGTCCCCCGGCCCCCAGATCACACGTCTGGTTTTCTCATCTCCACTGCAGGAGCTCTTTCCCCATCCTCTGTCTGGCACGCTCTGCTCCCTCCCTGTGGGGGCAGCTTGCTTATCCTTTAAGCCTTGTCTTAAATGTTCCCGCCTTTGAGGGCACTTTCCCCTACAGTTCTTGGCTGGCTGCCACCCTGATAATTTGCTCTCTGATCCTTTACTGGTGCCTCTGCAGTCCTTTTAACAATTATATATTTTTTGTTTTTTATTTTTGTCTTTCCCATTAGAATTCGAGTTTCAGACCAGGCGCGGTGGCTCACGCCTGTAATCCCAGCACTTTGGGAGGCTGAGGCAGGCAGATCACGAGGTCAAG